>NC_000020.11:5217850-5369365 GCF_000001405.40 Homo sapiens
TCAGTTCAAATAGAGACTGGTCCTTCTGAGGGCGTTCACTATTAAGCTGCAAAAGACTAAGTGGAAAGTCACGTCAGTCACTTTAAGAACAGCTTTTACTTAAAAAAAGTAAAGCAAGCATCAAATAACAGCTCACGCTTACCCTACAGAAAGGGGCAGAAGGAAACTCAGGAGCCCACCAGTTGGGTCTCAAAGACCATCACGCTAACCAGCTTTGGGAGATGTGTGGAAATAAATGAGGCAATGCTGACTTTGGGACCCCCTGTAATTCAATATCCAGTGAACATAGGTTTAATTGGCCTTAAGAAATTTAACAGGAAGGTTGCAATCCAAGCTCTAGCTGTGGGCATCTTACAGGTGTGGACACTTGTGTTTGGTGGTTTGCATTGCTATAAAGGAATACCTGAGACTGGGTAATTTATGATGAAAAGAGGTTTATTTGGCTCACGGTTCTGAAGACTGTACAAGAAACATAGCACCAGCATCTGCTTCTGGTGAGGGCTTCAGGAAGCTTCCAATCATGGTAGAAGGTAAGGGAGAGCTGGTGGTGTCACATGGTGAGAGGGAGCAAGACAGAAGGGAGAGCTCCCAGAATCTTTTAAACAACCAGATTTCCTGTAAACAACTGGCAAGAACTCACTCATCACCCCTGGGAATGCACCAAGCCATTCATGAGGGATCCACCCCCATGATCCAATCACCTCCCACCAGGCCCCACCTTCAACATGGGAATCACACTTCAATATGAGATTTGGAGAGGACACACATCCAAACCATGTCAGCACTTCAGGGGGAAAACAGTGACAGTGCAAGGAGGGTCTTTGCCATAAGCAAAGAAATGGGAGGAAGGAGTGAGGCATTGGCCAAGTTGGGCACCCCTCTTCTTGCCTCTCTGAGTTCATGTCTCATACTGGCAGTGTCCATGCCTGGCTCTCTTCTTGCCATTTAGGTTTTTATGACATGGATCTCTGTAACATCGCTTTGGGAACAAATGCATGTTTTACTTATACTTTCTCTTACAAGTGATGCACTTCTCATCTGATCCCATTCCCTCCCTTGCTACCACCTTGGAATGTGCCACTGTAACCTCACCACTGGATTATAGTACCTGTTCCTGACTGGTCTCACTTCTTATGTCCCTGTTCCTGTCTTCAGTTGGCAGAGTGAAACAGCTCACTCAGATCCTGTCCCTTCTCTACCTAGAACCCCGTAGGGGCTTTTGTCTTGCTTAGGAAAAGCCAGAGTCTTTACAGTGCCTCCCATCTGGCTTACCTTCCTCCTCGTGTCCCCTTTATTCCCTCTGTACCAGCTGCACTGGCCCCTGGAAGAGCATGCTGTCCAAGTTGCATCCCACCTCGGAGTCTTTGCATTCACTGTTCCTTTGCTTGCATTGCCCTTTCAGGCGGTCTACGTGGCTTCCTCCCACACTTCCTTCAAGTCCTTGCTCAGATGCCTCCTTTTCAATGGGCTCTCTCAAACAACCCATCTGACAGTGCACACACTTACACCCCTGGTCACCCCCTCACCCTTTCCTGCTTTATTTTTTCTCTTAGTGCTTGTTGGTACCTAACATATTACATATTTTACATATTTCTTGGTTCCTTATCTGTCTCTCCCTCTAGAAGGTGAGATTCTTGAGGGTGAGTTTCTTTTCACCCTCAGGTATCCCTGTTGCCCAGAGCAGTGGCTGGGCCATGGTGAGTGCCCTGCAAAGACACATTAAGTGAACACATGTGAACAGTGAGGACCTGGAGGTGCTCAGTCTATGAATTTTTCAGCAACCATGCCAACTGGCCACCGTGATCATTTCGCTCAAGCATTCTCAGCCTAGGTGTTCTGGTCCTCTCTCATCTCCTGCCTCCATCTGGCTGTATGGACAAAAGGGTGCCATCGAATCCTCTGGGCTGTGGTTTCCGGTAAAATAATGGGTTTGAACTGGATGATTTGAGTCTCCCAGATCCGAATTTTAGTCTCCCAAGTCTTTGATTTTTTTGTCGTCTAAATCTCTACCTTCACATGGCCAAGCTTCAAACAGGCTATATTATAAACGGGACATATTAGCAGAGTAGTTAGTGATTCCCTTTGTGGAGTCCCTGTCTCCACTGCTTGTAGCAGAAGCCATCAGTGACCAGCCTAAGCTCTTGAAACTGACTGTTCCAGGTCACACCAACTGTACTCCACTGTGAGCTCCTGGGCCTTTGTGCTGGAGGGTTTTCTATCCACCAGGGATGGGCGGGCTGGAAGGTGTGAGGAGTGTGTGTCCCTGGGAGTGGCCTTCAGCCAATGATGTGTGAGAATTGGATAAATAATCCAGCTCCTTTTCCCCTCTGGGGTGTAACTCCCAGGGGTGTTCTACCCTGTCTCCCAGAGTTATCCCACACGATTGAGCCCCAGTTGCCCAGGGTCCTGTCCTGCCCATTAACACTTCCTATCATCCCTCTATTGCTCACTCCACTACCCCTTCCCAGTGTTTCCTGGGATCACCTCCCTAATCATCTACTTGTACTCAAATCCCTGCCTTGGGCTCAACTTCTGGGGGACTCTGACTTCTCCTGCTGACTTCTTCTCAGCAGGCACAGAGCCTGCTGCCTCCAGGCAGCTGAAAGCACCTCATGCATGTGCTTGTTGGGTTCTCTTTCTCTGTATGGGCGGAGTACTGGCCTCCACCCTCCCTTCCCATTGCTTCATATGTCCTTCTATGGGCTCCTCTTTCCCCTATATGGCTAGGACCCATTTCCTCCCACTTCCCCTTCCACAGTCTCCACTTTTCCCCCAAGCCTCAGGAAGCAATGCCAACATTACTATGCAGTGCAGTTTAACTCTTCTTTATCCTTACCTCTCTCACCTAAGCTATTCACATGGGGATCTTCACCTTCTTGACCAGCCCCACCCTTCAGGACTCTAAGATAAGCAAAACAATAGGTCTCCCCTGCACATGTGCCTCCTTCTCTGGGTTTGAGCTACTGCACAAACTGTAAGTAGTTAAAAAATGTGTTTTCCTTGTCACGTTGGACTCTGTGAGCTCAAAGTCTACCCCGAAGGCTTCATACCACAGCTGGAAATTGCGTTTTATTCACAAAGCATCCAGGATATGACGCATTTCATATCCACATGAATGACAACGAGCAAAGAAACAGACAAATTGTACGAAAGAATAATGTTCCTTCTTCCTGGAAATTTTCTAAAAGGGATAGGATGAGAACTCTGGGTCTTATTATTTTAAAAAAATGCCATACAGCCTCAAATTGCCCATCAACCTCAAGCACACACTTGAATGTATAATTTTTCTTGAATATCCAGCGTATAAATATTAGCTTCCATGTCCTTGACTAGAGTAATAGCATGGACAGACTGTGGAAAGGCTGAACTGCCTGCCTGGAGGCAAGTTGTGTTTGAAATAAATAATGCATTTCATAATCCCATGTGACATCATGTTCTATGGAGCCTTGAGAGATGTAATCTACTACCATTACTCCACGCTCCTCAAGCATTTCTAATTAACTCAAGAACTGTGGGCCCTGTGTGGAGCTGAGGACGTAGAAGAATCGGTGGGGGACAGGGGGGATATGGGGGAGAAGGACAAACCAGAAAGGTTTTTGCCTTCCTTCTCAGTCCTCATCTTTGCCTTGGCCATTGCAGTCCAACTCTTTGCCTCAAAGATAAGGAAACAAAACAAAACAGCTAATTGTAAATCTATCCACCTAAACATCTAACCCTGGTGCTATGGTTTGAATGTTTGTCTTCTCCAAAACTCATGTTGACATTTAACCCCCAATGTGGCAGTATTGAGAGGTGGGGTCTTTAAGAGGTGGTTGGGTCATGAGGGCTCAGCCCTCATGAATGGATTAATGCATTCATGAATAGAGGGTTAACACATCAATGAGTTATCATGGGAGTGGGACTGGTGGCTTTATAAGAAGAGGAAGAGAGACCTGGGCTAGCACACTCAGCTCCTCACCATGTGATGCCCTGAGCCACCTCAGGACTCTGCAGAGTCCCCACTAGCAAAGCAAGAAGGCCCTCACCATATGCACCCCCTTGACCTTGGACTTCTCAGCTTCCATAACTGTTGGAAATAAATTCCTTTTCTTTATAACGTACCCAGTTTCAGATATTCTTTTCCAAACAACAGAAAATGGACTAAGGCACCTGGGAAGCAGCTAGGTGATCAAAGTGTGACAATATGACGGATTACTTCACAGTCCTATAGTCAGGTTCTAAATAATATTGAGTCAGTAAAATAATATTGACTGCTATAGATTGCAGACTGCAAAGCAGAGTGTACAGGAGGTCCTTATTTTGGTAAATCATATAGGGAGATGTAAATTATAAATACATATGCTTATATTACATATACGTGTTAACTACTTACATATAAAAATCATATATACATAAATACCAGGGGAGTAGACCATATTCAAAACAGGTACACTGAGAGGAGGGGTGATTTGAAATGTTTGGAAAAATACTATCTGTGTGTTTTCACAGTGTTTCATTGATATATTTTTCTTTCTTTCTTTCTTTTTTTTTTCGAGACAGAATCTTGCTCTGTCGCCCAGGCTGGAGTGCAGTGGCCCGATCTCGGCTCACTGCAAGCTCCGCCTTCCGGGTTCACGCCATTCTCCTGCCTCAGCCTCCCAAGTAGCTGGGACTATAGGCGCCTGCCACCACGCCTGGCTAATCTTTTGTATTTTTAGTAGAGACGGGGTTTCACCGTGTTAGCCAGGATAGTCTCGATCTCCTGACCTCGTGATCCGCCCACCTCGGCCTCCCAAAATGCTGGGATTACAGGCGTGAGCCACTGCACCCGGCCATATTTTTCTTTTATAAATAGAAAGCTATATAAATAAATATTGTCTTTCCTCCTGCTTCCATAATTATTGATACAGATAGTTTGAGCAAAACTACCTCTTCTCCCAGCTGCCTTTTTTTCAACCTCAGATGTGGCTCCATTGTTCATACTAACATCCTTCTGCTAGCTAGGGGTGGTGCTCAAAGGGTAGGATGCTGTTAAAACATCAGTAGATCTGAGACCTCGGCTCTCCATCCTGAAGCCCCCTGAAGAAACTGCAATAAGCCTGTTTGACCCCACCACTTGCTCATTGTGGTTATGGTGGACCTTGCTTTTTCCTGTCCTGTGCATCACCTTAGACAATTGGGAAATTACTTTTAATTCAGAGATGGCCTCAGTTATGGATTTACAGCATTGCAACTATGTAACATTGTAACATTGTGACTAAGTAATTTTAACAATGTAGCTACAGCATTGCCCTGCTTTACCGCGGAGACAGCGCCACCTAATGGTTAAACAAGTGCCCAGCCGTTCCTTACCAAAAGGCAACTCGTTAATTGTGGAGAGGACGGTAAAATCATAGCAATATATCTTCCCCGCCTCCACACAATACAGTAGAAATCAATAGTTATTTGAGCACTTCTCCATCATAATCCAACCATCAATAAGTCTTTGGGTAAGATTGTGTTGTTACAAAGCATTTGCCCACCAATGACATTTTATATCCCCAGACACAATTATAAAGGCGAAGATGTTCCATCAACAAGCACGCCTGATTTAATAGCATTTCTTGCCCACTGTTACTCAAAGCAGCCTGAATGCAGGAGCTCTCAAATGCTTCCCTGCGGCATAAACCACCCTGAGATGGGTGTAGGAAATACACTAATGAGACGCCTGAGTGTTCACAATGCTTCCACACACTAGGAGAATTGGTCTTTATTGGTGGCCTCTGGATGTTGGGAATAATGAAACACTATGACCAGGGTTTTCTAGCAGTGTTGAGAGGTGAGATTTCCAGGCTAACCCAGAATCTTGGCCTTTCAAGAGCTAGTCGATGTAGGTGACCACATCCAGGCACACACCCTTTCTCTTCCATGCATGCATTACCAACTGGAGAGGATGTCGTGGGGGCTGTATTCCGGTCCCCTGTATTAGCCAGTCTAGTGCAGCCATCTCCCAGCTGCTGTGAGTGTTGGCTGCTATCAGCTCACAGTCGCCCCTCTTCTCTGAAGATTTTTCCTTGTGCAAGATCTTCCTTGCTCTGTTAGTTCTGCCCTCTCTCCCGCAGCCCACAGCCAATGACTGACTGACATGGGGGTACAAAGGGCCAGCCCTTTTGCCTTAAAGTGGGACCAGCTCTGTGGTGCAGTTCCTGCTTCGGAGCTAAGTTGGACTCCAGCTAAGACCACATCTTTGCTCAGTTCCTTCCCCTGCCCCCTCCTACTTCACTCATCTGTCTTCTGCTGAGTTACCCTCAATAAATCCCCTGTACCCAAATCCTCTCTCCGTCTCTCCTTTCAAGGGACTTAACCTAATACTGTGAACTTCAAAGAAATCACTCAAACACACTTCACAGGAACACTTTTCGAAGATATTTTTGTTGTTCTTTGATGATTCAGAAGATACCCCTAGACTGTGCAGTGTCACTGGGCTCTTATTATGACCATCAATTAATTCTACAGGTAGGAAGAATTTTTTTTTTTTTTTTTTTTGAGACAGAGTCTCGCTCTGTCACCCAGGCTGGAGTGCAGTGACATGATCTCAGTTCATTGCAACCTCCACCTCCTGGATTCAAGCGATTCTTCCGCCTCAGCCTTGCGAGTAGCTGGGATTACAGGTACATGCCACTGTGCCTGGCTAATTTTTTTTGTATTTTTAGTAGAGATGGGGTTTTGCCATGTTGGCCAGGCTGCTTTTGAACTCCTGGCCTCAAGTGATCTGCCCACCTGGGCCTCCCAAAGTGTTGGGATTACAGGCGTGAGCCACCATACCCGGCAGGAAGAAATATTCTTGAACAGAGCTCTCCTATGGCTAGAGGATGTAATTATGTATGTTGATTGAACAGCAGTCAGGACCTAGCCTGTCTGGATCTGAATGACGCAAAACCTGATGGCAGAGCCAGAAGCCAGAATGATATGACCAGTCGACCTTGTCCCCATGGACAGTCGTGGGATGCAGCCATGGTGTTCCTGCGTGTGGAGCTTCTTGCTTTTACAGCCCTTCGTGTTGGGTTGTCTCATTTATAGAGACATACAACGTCAGTGCTGGAAGGACCTTTTGCCACTCCTCCAACAGATACTCGTTATGCCCTATGCTGGGTTGAATTGTATTCCCCAAAAAGATAAGTTGAAGTCCTACCCCCTGGAACCTTAGACTGTGACCTTATTTGAAAATAGGGTCATTGCAGCTGTAATAGGTATGAGGTCATACTAGAGTAGGGGAGCCCTACTCCAACATGACTGGGGTCCTTAAAAGAAGAAGAGAGACAGACACAGAGAAAGATGGCCATGTGAAGACAGAGGCAGAGATTAGAGTGACATCTACAAGCTGAGGAACACTAAGGATTGCCAGCAACACCAGGAGCTGAAAGGGGCAAGGAAGAATTCTCCCCTACAGGTTTTCAGGGGGAGCACGGCCCTGTCAACCCCTCGATTTCAGATTTCCAGCCTCCAGAACTGTGAGACAGTTCATTTCTGATGTAAGCCACCCAATTTGTGGTACTTTGTTATGGCAGCCCTGGGAAACTAATAGAGCCTCTGCTAAGTGCCCATCTTTATGGATTATCTGTTATAACCTTAAGGCAAGGACATGCCTTGGTTCCATTTCACTTTAGCCCAGGAGAGAGAGCTTATGGGTTGACCTGAATTCTTTGTGCACCATATCTAGCTATCTGCATCTAGATTTCCTTGTCACACACCCAGTTCAGAATGACAAGCAGGAGAGGATTTCAAATCGCCAGAGCCATTGCTGAAGGAACAGAGTATGCTTGCTTGCTTGCTTTCTCTTTCTCTCTTTCTCTCTTTCTTTCTTTCTTCTTTCTTTTTTTCTTCTGAACAAAACAAGTTTTTAAAATTATTATTATACTTTAAGTTCCAGGGTACATGTGCACAAAGTACAGGTTCAATACATAGGTATACATGTGCCATGTTGGTTTGCTGCACCCATCAACTCGTCATTTACATTACATATTTCTCCTAATGCTATCCCTCCCCCAACCCCCCAGGCCCAGACAGGCCCCGGTGTGTGATGTTCCCCGCGCTGTGTCCAAGTGTTCTCATTGTTCAATTCCCAGTGAGAACATGCGGTGTTTGGTTTTCTGTCCTTGTGATAGTTTGCTGACAATGATGATGGTTTCCAACTTCATCCATGTCCCTGCAAAGGACATGGACTCATCCTTTTTTATGGCTGCATAGTATTCCATGGTGTATATATGCCACATTTTCTTAATCCAATCTATCATTGATGGACATTTGGGTTGGTTCCAAGTCTTTGCTATTGTGAATAGTGCTGCAATAAACTTATGTGTGCATGTGTCTTTATAGTAGCATGATTTATAATCCTTTGGGTATATACCCACTTTATTTCATGACCCTCAACCTGATCAATGAAAGTCAGGGGGAGCTCAGTAAGCCGTGCTCTTGGAGGAATCTCAGCCCAGCACTGCTGGTTGTGTAGACAGACAGTCTCTGCGGTGGAGTGGGGTTGGTCATAATGGCGAGTCCCCTGCTTCCTCATTTCCTTCCTCTGTTTCTTCTCCTATCCAGGGAGTTCCTGAGTGTTTGTTATTAAAGTTCTTTATGCTAATTATTTTTTATTGAGCACTGCTTCCAACATCTCTGTAGGACTTGATTTAGAAAAAAATCATGGGACTCAGGCCTAGCCTTTCCATGGTCCTGCCTGGCTGTGTCTGGACTGTTGCCTGGAGCCAGCAGCCCCACGCTATCCTGGGGCCCACATTCCATCAGAAGTTCCTTTTTCTTCCTCTGTTTCAAGCACTGCATAGATACCTTGCTCAAAGCCATGTCTAGAGACAAACACACACTCCACAAAAAGCCTTCTCTGTGGACCCATATGACTCAGTATAATGCAATCATTACTTAATTTCTCAAAACACATTAACCTAAGGCAAGGTTTAAAACTAGTAAGAGTAGACATAAATCCACAGTTCAGAAAGTTTTCTTAATAATTTTGATTTTTTTAAAGAATGGAATCCTTCCAGCTCTTTGAGAACCAGAAGAACAAGACCACAAATCTTCCCTGACTTCACGTCTTTCCCCCTTTGTTATTCCGATACTCGATTCTTAATTGAAATTCTACAGTCCTCAACAGCAGACTCAATGTAGATTTTTTCCCCTAACCAACTAGCACAAAAAGTTATCTTTCTCTCAGAAGCCCAGAGGAATTATTCATTCAAAAAGTGCAGTGTTAGGCCGGGCGCAGTGGCTCACGCCTGTAATCCCAGCACTTTGGGAGGCTGAGGCGGGTGGATCATGAGGTCAGGAGATAGAGACCATCTTGGTTAACGCAGTGAAACCCCGTCTCTACTAAAAATACAAAAAATAAGCCGGGCGTGGTGGTGGGCGCCTGTAGTCCCAGCTACTTGGGAGGCTGAGGCAGTAGAATGGCGTGAACTCAGAAGATGGAGCTTGCAGTGAGCCTAGATCGCACCGCTGCACTCCAGCCTGGGCGACAGAGCGAGACTCCGCCTCAAACAAAAAAAAAAAGTGCAGTGCTGATCACGTGCCTTTAAGTTCACTCTTAATAAAGAGAGTGCTCTCTGACATCATATAGCATTGTCAGAAATTTCCTAAAATAAGAGTAGGCAGGTAATGTGAGGTCTAATTCTGAAGTTCTGAAATTTAAATACACATAACTGTGTGTAACAAGTAGGAAGGTGGATAAAGGTGTAGACCTCCAGGCCATGCCCCAGAGACTTGGATCCAGTAGTCCTGAGCTGGGCCTGAAAAGAACGTTGCTCCAATGTCTGTGTAGTGCTTTCCAGTTTAGAAATTAGTTTCCTCCCTTGCCAGACTGAAGGCCAGTTCTTACTAATGCAATGTGTACACATGCCGCACCTGAGACTCCACAGAAGCATGTTAGGTTAAGAATACAGAATGTGGGGTAAGGGCAGACTAGAGAAGAACAGACAGGGAAGGTGGTTTCTTGCGAACATAACTCTCAAGAGAGAGGCTGGGCCATCAACCACAGGCTGAGTCTGATGAGTTGCTGGTGGGACTGGAGAGTGATGGGCAGCCTGTTGTAGAGGATGCACCCACGGTCATAATGAACAGTGATCTCTCTCTCTCACTCTCTTTTTTTTTTTTTTTTAGATGGGGTCTCCTTCTCTCACCCAGGCTGGAGTGCAGTGGAGTGATGTCGGCTCACTGCAGCCTCCACCTTCCAGGCTCAAGTGATCCTCCCACCTCAGCCTCCTGAGTAGCTGGGACCACAGGTGCACGCCACCATGCCCAGCTAATTTTTGTATTTTAGGAAGAGACAGGCTTTCATCATGTTGCCCAGGCTGGTCTCGAACTCTTGAGCTCAAGTGATCTGCCCACCTCGGCCTCCCAAAGTGCTGGGATTACAGGCGTGAGCCACCACCCCCAACCTAGAACAGTGACCTCCTAAAAAGGAAGTGCCCATGCTGGAGGGCAGAAATAAAATGTAATACCTAGGGCTATTTAATTTGTATTTAAAGCCTTGTTAATATTGCATGTATCAACAGACACCGACATCCTCGCTGGGTCACGGGTTATGAGGCTCCCACGGAGTGGGGGATCCCAAAGAAAGAGAGGTGCTCCCCAAGAAGAGGGGTGCTGCCTGTGGCATCCTCACACCCTCTCTGTGGTTTAAATGTGCCTGCCAACTAGATTTATGGGTTATACTCTCCAAATGAACAAGTGGCTTAAAAAGAATTGCTTCAAAGAACTGACAGATTGAAGAGACTAATGAGGCAAGTCAAGCAGACTCTATGAGAAAATGGGGGAGCTGAGTCTCCATTCCTAGTATCAATAAACATCAGGTTCAAAACAATGACAGTCTAATCAGTGCTGACCAATAGTTGGTTTAGTTGGTTTAAAAAAAAGTCAAAACTATTAAGAATTCTTTCTAGATTATGGCTTTATAGCCACTCTTGCTAGTTTAACCTTGTCTTAGGTGTATATGTCTTGAGAAATCAAGAAATCAAATAGTATTAGGCTGGATCATATGGAGTTGACAACATTTATCTATATTTTGATATAAAATTAGGAATTCAATACAGTTCAATTTAACATAAAGTTATCATGATTAATATGACTTTTTATTTTTTTTAAAAAAGCATCCTAGGCCAGGTGCAGTGGCTCATGCCTGTAATCCTAGCACTTTGGGAGGCCAAGGCCGGCAGGTCACTTGAGGCCAGGAGTTTGAGACCAGCCTGGCCAACATAGCGAAACCCCATCTCTACTAAAAATACAAAAATTAACCAGGTGTGGTGGTGCACCCTGGTAGTCCCAGCTACTTACGAAGCTGAGGCACAAGGATTGCTTGAACCCAGGAGGCAGAGGTTGCGGTGAGCTGAGATTGCATCACTGCACTCCAGCCTGGGCAACAGAATGAGACTCCATCTCAAAAAAAAAAAAAAAAAAAAAAAAAAGCATCCCAAGGATGAAAAAACTCCAGTTTTTTATTACTTTATTTTAAAAGTCATGATAAACCTTTACAAAATTTTATTGAACTTAATGATAAATACTTACAAAGCCTCTTTTGAGATTTCTTATGTAAGAGTAAAAGATGAAAAGCACACTATTTATAAACAGTTGTCTCATTCTGCTAGAATAAAAACAATGGAAAGAATATCTGGAGGCAACATAGGGGCAAAATTAAAGTGCAGTCCTTGCTGGTCAAATAAGTGGAAGAAATATAGAAAATATTGCCAAAGATTTGGAAAACATTACAACAAATTACACTGGTGGGAAATCTGCGACACAGTTTGATAAAAGTACAGATGCTTCTAACACGTCCTAGCTTACAGTGCTTGTTAGACTCTATGTCAGTCATAGATTGAAAGAGCCACTTTTTAATAAGCCATGAAAGGAAAGATGAACCAGATAAGATATAATCTCAATAATAATGACTTACGGAAAAAAACCAGTGTTTGATGTTCCACATCATCTAGTGGTTAGAAAAAAAGAAAAAAACAAAACAAAGAAAAAACAGTGTTTGATGAAAAGTGAAACACAAAAACGCTGCCAAGAGTCGTCTGCTTTGATTTGGAAGGGGAACAGAAAGGACTTCGCAGTAAGAATATTGAATTTCCCATAAATAACCTATTGTTATATGTTATTATTATATGTTATATTTTTTCCCATAAATAACCATTGTTTCATAGGCCAGGTGTTACAGCACAGAGATCAAAGCCAGAGATACTGAGCTTCTGGATACCTGAACATGTGGAGATTCCTGGAGGTGGCGCACCCAGGGAGGGCATGGAAGCTCTGTGCCCTTCCCCCATAAAAACTAAAAAAGATTTAAGTTTTTAAAAAATTTTTAGATAAATAAAATGAAATAAAATGAAATAAAAGAGATGCTCCATTAATGTAGCTTGCTTTATAGGGACGTTTTATAAAAGGATGGGGATGAAAATCTTTTGCCTGCACAGGAAGTTCACTAATTATCTTGTGGTCAGGTTCTTTAAAAATGAGTTACACAGTTTTCCTTTATGACAAGATGTCAAATGTTTCAAATTTGGGAAACTATTCTGGGAAGACAAGTGACTATCAATAGAACTGACAAATGACAGGAAGGGCTCAGATCGGCAGAAAGTCCAGAAACAAACACTGATGGGTAAGTCAGTAAGGTTCACTTATATCATGAATGGGGAAGGAAGCTGGCATGGTCAGAATTCACCGCAAAGAGATTAGGAATACTAACGGGACCATGCAGAGGTGTAAACTTGTCTACTATATTTATTCCCAGAGCCACACAGTGTCAGATGGTAACATCTGATCAGGTGAGAATCCCATCAGATCTTCTGGAAGCCTAATTGTTTTTCCAGCTCCAGACTTCTGCACTACCGCCAGGAGCACCTCATCACTCCCAGAGTTGATGATATGCCACGTTGTTAAGGTCCCAGACTCTCAGGCAGGAACACAGCCTTCTATGTTCCCTCTGCCTTCCCAGGCTAATGCAGTCTTGTCCAGACACATTGCTAAATTTAGTGCCCCGATGCTGAACAGGTTGAAATGTATAGCCCTTGCATGGATCTTGGCACAAATGGACCAACTGCAAGACATTTTGACAACAATTGGGGAAACTGGAACACAGATTGGGTACTAGGTAATATAAAAGAATGATCGTTCATTTTGTTAGGTATGATAATGATATAGCGGCTGCTATGATCTGAATGTTTGTGTCACCCCCAAAATTCATTAGGAGGTGGGGCCTTTAGAAAGTGATTATGTCATAAGGGCTCTGCCCTAATGGATGGAATTAGTGCTGTCATAAAAGAGACCCCCGAGAACTCATTAGCCCTTCCACCACGTGAGTACAAAACAAACAGTTGTCATTCTGCAACCTGGAGGAGGATCCTCACCAAGATGGCGCCCTGTGCACTTCCCAGCCTTCAGAACTGTGAGAAATAAATTTTATTGTTTATAAGCTATCCAGCTTATGGTATTTTTTTTGAGATAGGCTCTCATTCCGTTGCCCAGGCTGGTGTGCAGTGGTGCGAATATGGCTCACTGCAGCCTCGACCTTCTGGGCTCCAGTGATCCTCCCTCTTAGGCCTTTCAATGTACTGGGATTACAGGTGGGAGCCACGGTGCCCAGCCACCAGTATTTTGTCACAGAAGTCTGAACAAGCTAAGATAGTGGTTATGTAAGAAAAATCCTGCTTTTTTAGAGATGTATATGAAAATATTACGAGGTGAATTGTCATTGTTTGTAGCTTATTATTAATACTTAGGTAAATATTAGATACTTAATATTAAATACTGAGGTAAAAATTAGATGAAGCAAATCTGGTAAAATATTAAGAATAATTAAATGTAGGTATTGGCTATATGGCAGATCATTACACCATTATCCTCCTACATTTATGTGTTTAAAATTGTTTATAATAAAAATTTTATAGAAAGTAATACAATAAAAAACAAACACAAACTGTACCATCAAGGTGAAAATAGTATTTTAGTATTGAGGGAGAAAGTAACATTTTTTGGAATAAAATATGGGGATAAATATTTGGTAAGTTTCTATGATTATATTATTTTATTGATAAAAGAAATATAAGTGAATCATTTGCCAACTCTCCTCCTGCCATATTAAAAAAAAACTTGGGAAAAACAATGAATAATCTGAAAAGGAAATTAAGAAAGGAATTTCATTTATAATAGCATTAAGAAGAATAAAATCCTTAGGAATAAACCTAACCAACGAGTTGAAAGACTTGTACACTGAAAACTTCAAAACCATTGTTGAAAAAAATTAAAGAAGAGAGAAATAAATAAAAGGACAGCCTCTGTTCATGGATTGGATACTTAATATTATTAAGATGTTACTACTACCCAAAGAGATCTATAGATTAAATACAATCTCTATTAAAATACCAATGGCATTTTTTGTAAAATAGAAAAATTTATCCTAAAATTTATATGGGATCTCAAGGCACCCTGAGTAGCCAAAATAATTTTGAAAAAGAAGAACACAGTTGGAGGACTAGCAGTTATTGATTTCAAAACATTGCAAAACTACAGTAATCAAAATAGTGTGGTACTGGCATAAAGACAGACAAATAGATCAATGGAATCGAATAGACAGCCCACATCTATGGTCAAATGATGTTCAACAAGGGTGCCAAGACCATTCAGTGGGGAAAGGACAGTTTCTTTAACAAACAGTAGTGGGAAAATTGGATGCAAAAGAATGAATTTGGACCCTTGTCCTATACCATATACAAAAATTAACTCAAGATGCATTAAAGACCTAAAAGTAAGATCTCAAATTATAAAACTTCTAGGAGAAAATATAGGGGAAAACTTCATGACGTTGTTGGCAATGACAAGAATAGATAAGACACCAAAAGCACAGATAACATAAGCAAAACTAGACAAATGAGACTACATCAAACTTTAGAAGTTTGTGCATCAGAGAGCACAATCCAAGCTGGGCACAGTAGCTCAGGCCGGTAATCCCAGCACTCTGGGAGACCAAGGAAAGAGGATTGCTTGAAACCAGGAGTTCAAGGCCAGCCTGTGCAGCATAGGGAGACCCCCATCTCTAAAAAAAAAAATTAGCCGGGAATAGTGGTATGCACCTGTACACCAAGCTATTCGGGAGGCTAAGGCAGGAGGATCACTTGAGCCCGGAAGTTTAAGACCAGCCTGGGCAACATGGCAAAATCTCATTTCCAAAAAAAATAAGCTGGGTGTGGTGGTGTGCACCTGTATCTTAGCTACTTGGGAGGCCAGATCAAGCCACTGCACTGTAGCCTGGGAGACAGAGCGAGACCATGTTTCAAAAACAAAACGAAACACTGCTGAACTGTACACAAAAACCACACAATCCACAGAGTGATAGGAAAACCTATGAATAGGAGAAAATGTTTGTAAATCATATATCTGATAATGGCTAATATCCAGAATGTGTAAAGTACTCCAACAATTCAACAGCAAAAACAAAAATCAAATAACCTAGTTTAAAAGTGGGCAAAGGACTTGAATAGACATTTCTCCGAAGAAGATATAAAGATGTTCAACAAGCATATGAAAAGATGCTCATCGCTAATCATCAGAGAACTGCAAATCAAAACAGTGAGTTGTCACCTCATACCCATTAGATGCTACTGTCAAAAAACTGGAAAATAACAAGTGTTGGCAAGGATGTGGAGAAACTAGACTCTTTGTGCATTGTTGGTGGGATTGTAAAATTGTGCAAGTGCTGTGAAAAATAGTATGGAGGTTTCCCAAAAATTAAAAACAGAGCTGTCATATGATATGGTAATCCCACGTTTGAGTATATAACCAAAAGAATTGAAAGTAGAGTCTCAAAGAAATATTTGCACACCCGTGTTTATCGTAGCACTATTCATAATAACCAAGAGGTAGGAACAACCCAAATGTTCATCGATGGATGAATGAATAAACAAATGTTATATATATATAATATATATCACATACATATATATCCACACACATACATACACACAGTGAAGTATTATTCATCCTTTAAAAGGAAGAAAATCCTACAACATGGATGAACCTTGAAGACATTATGCTAAGTGAAAGAAGGCAGTCACAGAAAGACAAGTCCTGTATGAGTCCACCTATATGAGGTATCTAGAGTAGTCAAATTTATACAACATAAAGTAGAATGGAGTTGCCAGAAGCTAGAGAGAGGGGAGGGGGAAAAAGGGGAGTTGTTTAACCGATATAGAGTTTCACATCTACACAATGAAAGTCTTGAGATCTGTCTCAACAACAATGTGACTATACTTAACACTGCTGGACTATACAATTAAAAATGGTTAAGATGGTCAATTTTGTTATGTGTTTTTACCACAATGAAACAAGGGGGACAGGAGACCTTGGAACATAATTACTGAGCTTTTTTAAAAGCTTCCAAATGGAGTGTTTCAGTAGATTTGGACAGAAACACTTTGTTAAATATTTAAAAACACATCACCCTATGATTAGTTTGGAGGAACATCAGGGAACGTGGTCATTTATTTGCCAAGTGTCAACAAGAATCTTTGCATAGTAAGCAGTGAAAGAGATGGAAAAATGAGTTTCATAATTTAGGGCAGCACATTAAGTGATGTCCTTACTATGTTTACTTTTTGTGAGAAGTATTTTTTAGCTATGACAGCAATCAAAGCCTTGAAAGAATACATCTTCAAATTATTTTATTGCAAAATGTTGCCTTTTTAAAAAAAATTAAAGGAGACTGAATTATGTTGAATTCAGAATCCAAATAATAGACATATTTTAATTCTATCTTAATGGTAACTATTCATTATAATGAACAGAACTATTAATAAATTTATAAAAACATTAAATATTTATTTCCTATTTAGGTTATCCTTCAAAAATTTTCTTTGATGTGGCTCAAGCTTTCTTACTGGTGGGTTACACAATATAACAAGTTTGGGGTCATTGCTATAGAGTTCAGAAGTTTATTCACACCCACAAACCCTGGAGAATCCTGTCCAATCTCTTCAAGGAATTCTGAATCCCATGTAAGAAGAAGAGGCAGTGATAGAAAGGGAGGGAGGGAGGGAGGGAGGAGGAAAAGAGCTAGGGAGAAAACAGAAAGATTTTTTTTCTAATATTAAAATGTTTTTCCCGAATGATCAAGAATAGCACTATATAACAAAACTTTCTGTGATGAAAATGTTCTATATCTGTGCTGTCTGGTACAGTAGCCACTTGCTATATGTGACTATTGAGCACTTGAAATGTGGCATGGGTGACTGAAGAACTGAATATTAAATTTTGTTTAATCTGAATTAAAGTTTAAATAGACACATGTGGCTAATGACTACTGTGTTGCACAATGCTGCAGAAAGTCCAGAAACAAACACTGATGGGTAAGTCAACAATCGTTCTTGTTGAATAAAGAGTTGGCAAATGACCCACTTATATTTCTTTTATCAATAAAATAGTAAAATCATTGAAACTTTCTAAATTTCTCTCCAAATATTTTATTCCAAAAAATGTTATTCTAAAAAGAAACCACAACTAAACATACCTAAACTGTCTCATGATTGAAAGAAAAATATGAAATGTATGAACCCAGCAATGTAGAACTGCACACGTGTCAACATAAAGTCAGTTGATGCAGCGACACAGAGATGGAATAACTGGAATTTGGGTTATGCAAAAGTGCTCTTAGATTTTCTTTCCTATCTTGGTGAAAGATATATAATTTCTATTGTTGAAAAATGGAAATGTAACTTATCCTGCACAATTTGCCTGCCTATGAAGGAATATACTTTTTGCCAGTTTTATCATATTTCATAGTTTCAAGTTATTTTTCCTGTGGGAAGTTGCGGGCTGGGGGATGTGTACCCCTTTTCTTTTTCTTTCTTTCTTTCTTTCTTTCTTTCTTTCTTTCTTTCTTTCTTTCTTTCTTTCTGTCTGTCTTTCTTTTTTTTATTATACTTTAAGTTCTGGGATACATGTGCAAAATGTGCTGGTTTGTTACATAGGTATACACGTGCCATGGTGGTTTGCTGCACTCATCAACCCGTCATCTACATTAGGTATTTCTCCTAATGCTATGCCTCCTCTAGTCCCCCACCCCTTGACAGGCCCTGGTGTGTGATGTTCCCCTCCCTGTGTTCATGTGTTCTCATTGTTCAGTTCCCACTTATGAGTGAGAACATGTAGTGTTTGGTTTTCTGTTCTTGTGTTAGTTCGCTGAGAATGATGGTTTCCAGCTTCATCCATGTCCCTGCAAAACACATAAATTCATCCTTTTTTATGGCTGCATAATATTCAATGGGGTATATGTGCCACATTTTCTTTATCCAGTCTATCACTGATGGGCATTTGGGTTGGTTCCAAGCCTTTGCTATTGTGAACACTGCTGCAGTAAACATACGTGTGCACGTGTCTTTATAGTTGAATGATTTATAATCCTTTGAGTAAATACCCAGTAATGAGATTGCCGGGTCAAATGGTATTTCTGGTTCTAGATCCTTGAGGAATCGCCACACTGTCTTCCACAATGGTTGAAATAATTTACACTCCTGCTAACAGTGTAAAAGCATTCCCATTTCTTCACATCCTCTCCAGCATCTGTTTTTTCCTGGCTTTTTAATGATTGCCATTCTAACTGGCATGAGATAGTATCTCACTGTGGTTTTGATTTGCATTTCTGTAATGACCAGTGATGATGAGCTTTTTTTTCATGTTTGTTGGCTGCATAAATGTCTTCTTTTGAGAAGTGTCTGTTCATATCCTTCACCCACTTTTTGATGCGGTGGTTTGTTCTTGTAAATTTGTTTAAATTCTTTGTAGATTCTGGATATTAGCCCTTTGTCAGATGGATAGATTGAAAAATTTTCTCACATTATGTAGGATGCCTTTTCACTCTGATGATAGTTTCTCTTGTTGTGCAGAAGCTCTTTAGATTGATTAGATGCCATTTGTCAATTCTGGCTTTTGTTGCCATTGCTTTTGGTGTTTTAGTCATGAAGTCTTTGCCCATGCCTATGTCCTGAATGGTATTGCCTAGGTTTTCTTCTAGGGTTTTTATGGTTTTAGGTCTTATGTTTAAGTCTTTAATCCATATTGAGTTAATTTTTGTATAAGGTGTAAGGAAAGGGTCCAGTTTCAGTTTTCTGAATATGGCTAACCAGTTTTCCCAACACCATTTATTAAATAGGGAATCCTTCCCCCATTGCTTGTTTTTGTCAGGTTTGTCAAAAATCAGATGGTTGTAGATGTGTGGCATTACTTCTGAGGCCTCTGTTCTGTTCCATTGGTCTATATCTCTGTTTTGGTACTACTACCATGCTGTTTTGGTTATTGTAGCCTTGTAGTATAGTTTGAAGTCAGGTAGCGTGATGCCTCCAGCATTGTTCTTTTTGCTTAGGATTGTCTTGGCTATACAGGCTCTTTTTTGGTTTCATATGAAATTTAAAGTAGTTTTTTCTAATTCTGTGAAGAAAGTTAATGGTAGCTTGATGGGGATAGCATTGAATCTATAAATTACTTTGGGCAGCTTGGCCATTTTCATGATATTGATTCTTCCTATCCATGAGCATGGAATGTTTTTCCATTTGATTGTGTCTTCTCTTATTTCTTTGAGCAGTTGTTTGTAATTCTCCTTGAAGAGGTCCTTCACAACCCTTGTAAGTTGGATTCCTAGATATTTTATTCTGTTTGTAGGAATTGTGAATGGGAGTTCACTCATGATTTGGCTCTCTGTTTGTCTATTATTGGGGTGTAGGAATGCTTGAGATTTTTGTGCATCGATTTTGTATTCTGAGAATTTGCTGAAGTTGCTTATCAGCTTAAGGAGATTTTTGGCTGTGTCGATGGGGTTTTCTAAATATACAATTGTGTCCTCTGCAAACAGAGACAATTTGACTTCTTCTCTTCCTATTTGAATACCCTTTATTTCTTTCTCTTGCCTGATTGCCCTGGCCAGAGCTTCCAATACTATGTTGAATAGGAGTGGTGAGAGAGGGCATCCTTGTCTTGTGTTGGTTTTCAAAGGGAATGCTTCCAGCTTTTGCCCATTCAGTATAATATTGACTATGGGTTTGTCATAAATAGCTCTTATTATTTTGAGATATGTTCCATCAATACCTAGTTTATTGAGAGTTTTTAGCATGAAGGGATGTTGAATTTTATTGAAGGTCTTTTCTGCGTCTATTTAGATATCATATGGTTTTTGTCATTGGTTCTGTTTATATGATGAATTACGTTTATTGATTTGCATGTGTTGAACCAGCCTTGCATCCCAGGGATGAAACTGACTTGATCATGGTGGATAAGCTTTTTGATGTGCTGCTGGATTTGGTTTGTCAGTATTTTATTGAGGATTTTCACGTTGATGTTCATTGGGGATATTGGCCTGAAATTTTCTTTTTTTGTTGTGTGTCTGCCAGGTTTTGATATAAGGATGATGCTGGCCTCATAAAATGAGCTAGGGAGGAGTCCCTCTTTTTCTATTGTTTGGAATAGTTTCAGATGGAATGGTACCAGCTCCTCTTGGTAAAATTTGGCTGTGAATCCATCCGGTCCTGGGCTTTTTTTGGTTGGTATGCTATTAATTACTGCCTCAATTTCAGAACTTGTTATTGGTCTATTCAGGGATTCCACTTCTTGCTGGTTTAGTCTTGGGAGGGTGTATGTGTCCAGGAATTTATCAATTTCTTCTAGATTTCTAGTTTATTTGTGTAGGGGTGTTTATAGTATTCTCTGATGGTAGTTTGTATTTCTGTGGGATCAGTGGTGATATCCCCTTTATCATTATTTATTGTGTCTATTTGATTCTTCTTTATTTTCTTCTTTATTAGTCTGGCTAGCCATCTATCTATTGTGTTAATCTTTTCAAAAAACCAGCTCCTGGAATCATTGATTTTTTGAGGGGGTTTTCACATCTCTATCTCCTTCAGTTCTGCTCTGTTCTTAGTTATTTCTTGTCTTCTGCTAGCTTTTGAATTTGTTTGCCCTTGCTTCTGTAGCTCTTTTAATTGTGATGTTAGATTGTTGATTTTAGATCTTTTCCGCTTTCTCCTTTGGGCATTTAGTGCTATAAATTCCCCTTTAAACACTGCTAGCTGTTTCCCAGATATTCTGGTATAGTGTGTCTTTGTTCTCATCGGTTTCAAAGAACTTATTTATTTCTGCCTTCATTTCGTTATTTACCCAGTAGTCATTCAGGAGCAGGTTGTTCAGTTTCCACGTAGTTGTGCAGTTTTGAGTGAGTTTCTTAATCTTGAGTTCTAATTTGATTGCACTATGATCTGGGAGACTGTTATGATTTCCATTCTTTTGCATTTGCTGAAGAGTGTTTTACTTCCAATTATGTGATCAATTTTAGAATAAGTGCAATGTGGTGCTGAGAAGAATATATATTTTGTTGATTTGGGGTGGAGAGTTCTGTGGATGTCTATTAGGTCTGCTTGGTCCAGGGCTGAGTTCAAGTCCTGAATATCCTTGCTAATTTTCTGTCTCATTGATCTGTCTAATATTGACAGTGGGGTGTTAAAGTCTCCCATTATTATTGTGTGGGAGTCTAAGTCTCTTTGTAGGTCTCTAAGAACTTGCTTTAGGAATCTGGGTGCTCCTGTATTGGGTGAATATATATTTAGGATAGTTAGCTCTTGTTGCATCAGTCCCTTTACCATTATGTAATGCCCTTCTTTGTCTTTTTTGATCTTTGTTGGCTTAAGGTCTGTTTTATCAGAGACTAGGATTGCAACCCTTGCTTTTTTTCTGCTTTCCATTTGCTTGGTAAGTATTCCTCCATCCCTTCATTTTGAGCCTATGTGTTTCTTTGCATGTGAGATGAGTCTCCTGAATACAGCACACCATTTGTTCTTGACTCTTTATCCAATTTGCCAGTCTGTGTCTTTTAATTGGGGCATTTAATCCATTTACATTTAAGGTTAATATTCTTATGTGTAAATTTGATCCTGTCATTATGATGCTAGCTGGTTATTTTGCCTGTTAGTTGATGCAGTTTCTTCATAGTGTCGATAGTCTTTACAATTTGGTATGTTTTTGCAGTGGCTGGTACTGATTTTTCCTTTTTATATTTAGTGCTTCCTTCAAGGGCACTTGTAAAGCAGGCCTGGTGGTGACAAAATCTCTTACCATTTGCTTGTCTGTAAAGGATTTTATTTCTCTTTTGCTTATGAAGCTTAGTTTGACTGGATATGAAATTCTGGGTTGACAATTCTTTTCTTTAAGAATGTTGAATATTGGCCCCCACTCTCTTCTGTCTTGTACGGTTTCTGCCGAGAGATCTGCTGTTAGTCTGATGGGCTTCCCCTTGTGGGTAACCCGACCTTTCTCTCTGGCTGCACTTAACATTTTTTCTGTCATTTCAACCTTGGTAAATCTGAATATTATGTGTCTTGGAGTTAATCTTCTCAAGAAGTATCTCTGTGGTGTTCTCTGTATTTCCTGAATTTGAATGTTGGCCTGTCTTGCTAGGTTGGGGAAGTTCTCCTGGATAATATCCTGAAGAGTGTTTTCCAACTTGGTTCCATTCTCCCTGTCACTTTCAGGTACACCAATCAAACATAGGTTTGGTCTTTTCACATAGTCCCATATTTCTTGGAGGCTTTGTTCATTCCTTTTCACTCTTTTTTTCTTTAATCTTGTCTTCTCACTTTATTTCATTAAGTTGATCTTCAATCTCTGATATTCTTTCTTCTGCTTGATCAATTCGGCTATTGATACTTGTGTATGCTTCACGAAGTTCTCGTGCTGTGTTTTTAAGCTCCATCAGGTCATTTATGTTCTTCTCTAAACTGTTTATTCCAGTTAGCAATTTGTCTAACCTTTTTTCAAGGTTCTTAACTTCCTTGCATTGGGTTAGAACATGCTCCTTTAGCTTGGAGGAGTTTGTGATTACCCACCTTCTGAAGCCTACTTCTGTCAGTTCATCAAACTCATTCCCCGTCCAGTCTTGTTCCCTTGCTGGCGAGGAGTTGTGATCCTTTGGAGGAGAAGAGGCATTCTGGTTTTTGGAATTTTCAGCCTTTTTGCACTGGTTTTTCCTCATCTTCTTGGAATTATCTACCCTTGTTCTTTGATGTTGGTGACCTTCGGATGGAGTTTCTGTGTGGAAATCCTTTTTGTTGATGTTGATGCTATTCCTTTCTGTTTGTTAGTTTTCCTTCTAACAGGCCTCTCTGCTGCAGGTCTGCTGGAATTTGCTGGAGGTCCACTCCAGACCCTGTTTGGCTGGGTATCACCAGTGGAGGCTGCAGAACAGCAAAGATTGCTGCCTGTTCCTTCCTCTGGCAGCTTCTTCCCAGAGGGGCACCTGCCAGATGCCAGCTGGAGCTCTCCGGTATGAGGTGTCTCCCAGTCAGGAGGCACGGGGGTCAGGGACCCACTTGAGGAGGCAGTCTGTTCCTTAGCAGAGCTCAAGTGTTGTGCTGGCAGATCTGCTGCTATCTTCAGAGTTGGCGGGCAGGAATGTTTAAGTCTGCTGAAGCTGTGCCCACAGCTGCCCCTTCCCCCAGGTGCTCAGTGCCAGGGAGATGGTAGTTTTATCTATAAGCCCCTGACTGGGGCTGCTGCCTTTCTTTCAGAGATGACTTGGCCAGAGAGGAGGAATCTAGAGAGGTAGTATGGCTACAGAGGCTTTGCGGAGCTGTGGTGGGCTCCACCCAGTTCAAATTTCCAAGCGGCTTTATTTACACTGTGAGGAGAAAACTGCCTACTCAAGCCTCAGTAATGGCAGACGCACCTCCTTCCACCAAGCTTGAGCATCCCAGGTGGACTTCAGACTGCTGTGCTGGCAGTGAGAATTTTAAGCCAGTGCATCTTAGCTTGCTGGCCTCTGCGGAGGTGGGATCCCCTGAGCTAGACCACTTGGCTCCCTGGCTTCAGCCCCCTTTCCAGGGGAGTGAACAGTTCTGTCTTGCTGGCATTCCAGGTGCCACTGGGGTATGAAAAAGAACTCCTGCAGCTAGCTTGGTGTCTGCCCAAATGGCTGCCCAGTTTTGTGCTTGAAACCCAGGGCCCTGGTGGCGTAGGCACCCAAGGGAATCTCCTGGTCTTTGGGTTGCAAAGACTGTGGGAAAAGCATAGTATCTGGGCCGCAGCACACTGTTCCTCATGGCACAGTCCCTCACGGCTTCCCTTGGCTAGGGGAGTTCCCTGACCCCTTGCACTTCCTAGGTGAGGTGACACCCCACCCTGCTTTGGCTCACCCTCCGTGGGCTGCACCCACTGTCTAACCAGTCCCAATGAGATGAGTTGGGTACCTCAGTTGGAAATGCAGAAATGACCTGCCTTCTAAATTGATCTCGCTGGGAGCTCCAGACCAGAGCTGTTCCCATTCAACCATCTTGCCAGCCACCCAACACCCCTTTTCTTTTACCCTGGACTCTAGGCTTCTTATATTATCAGGGCAAGTTGGGCAGCTTCAATCTCTTTCTCTTCATGGCTGTACACAGCCACTTAATTTCAAATTTTCTCTTTCTCCTTTGTTAACCCTCCTCCTCCAAAAAATATTCCCTCAAGTGCCGACATAATATTCCATCAATAGCAGACAAAGTCTTTTGTTCCCTAACCAGTGACAAAAGACTTATGATGGGTGGGTGGGGGGCAAGGGGGGATGCTTAATGGGTATCAAAAAAATAGAATGAATAAGACCTAGTATTTGCTAGCACAACAGAGTGACTATAGTAAAAAACAATTTAATTGTACATTTAAAAATAACTAAAACAGTATAATTGGATTGTTTGTAACACAAAGGATAAATGCTTGAGGTGATGGATACCTCATTTACCCTGATGCGATTATTATGCATTGCATGCTTGTATCAAAATATCTCATGTAACCCTGCTACTATAAAGACACGTGCACACGTATGTTTATTGCAGCACTATTCACAATAGCAAAGACTAGGAACCAACCCAAATGTCTATCAATAATAGACTGGATAAAGAAAATGTGGCACATATACACCATAGAATGCTATGCAGCCATAAAAAAGTATGAGTTCATGTCCTTTGCAGGGACATGGATGAAGCTGGAAACCATCATTCTCAGCAAAATATCACAAGGACAGAAAACCGGACACCACATGTTCTCGCTCATAAGTGGGAGTTGAACAATGAGAACACATGGACACGCGGGGAACATCACACACTGGGCCTGCTGGGGGGTGGGGGCTGGGGGAGGGATAGCTTTAGGAGAAATACCTAAAGTAAATGACGAGTTGATGGGTGCAGCAAACCAACATGGCACATGTATACCTATGTAACAAACCTACACGTTGTGCACATATACCCTGGAACTTAAAGTATAATAATAATAATAAAGAAAATTGTCTTCTGAATGTCCTTGGACATCTTATTTTCCAAAGACAAAATTTTCTGGACAACAGTTGGTACTGTGAGCCCAAGTCTGGTTCATAATGAAACTCAGAGAATGCATAGATTTCTTTTAAAAATAAATCTCAAGTCTTGCAGAGATCCAGCTTACCTCCTGAAAAAGGTGCGTTAAGCACCCACACCACGTTATTTCCTATGTACTACCTTGTTTATAAAAATCACTCAGATATAGATTTTGTGAATTCTGTTTTGAGAATGTCCCAGGCTTAGAGTCCAGGCAGGCTGACTTATAGTTCTGTGCCAACCAAAAGGCTCCATATATTTAGAGGTATGGACATCCATCTTCTTGGCCATAGTACTCTGCTGAGGAAAACAAATCAGGAAACAAATCCTTCAGTGGGCAATGTTAATAAGCTGTGGAGTAGTTCTCTTGAATTCTGCCACAGGCCTGACAATCCATGGCTTCTGTATACAAGGTGACACATACCATTGTACCTAGAAGCACAGACCAGCCAGCTAACTATCCCTGGTGCATGATAGGATATTAATGTTTGTTGAATGAATGAATTATTTAATAAATACGTAATATAATGGCTCCCATTGAGAGAGCATTCACTATGAAAAAAATCTCATGTAACCCATAAATATATGTGCTTGCTGTGTACTCACAAAAATTCAAAATTAAAAAAAGTTTGTGACAGAAATACTAGTCAACATAATACAAGAATCTCACATATGTTAAGGAAAAAAAAAATCAGTTAGTGAATTGAGGAGGTCAGCTCCTTTTCTGTTTTGACGGTATAGGAGAGATCATTGAAGAAGGGAAGCCATTGGTTCCCTAAAAAAGAGGGCAGATGGCAAGAGTTTTCTTCAAAGGACATTGTGGGAATACAGGAGAACCACATTTTCCAGTGTCAACACCTTGCATTGTACCAAATGGGAAGTACAAGCCAAAATCTGTGGCCAGGATGTTTGAAGCTGTGGGCTGTGAAATTTAGTCGTGATGTGTCTCTATAGAGACATTGTAAATTCTAGGAGGACAGGGACCAACTACAACGTACTTTTCACTTGCCCCTTAGTAGTCCCCAATATGGTGCCAGGTATGTGAAGAAAAAGCATCTGTTGAATAAGTGAAAGAACATGACTTTTGAAAACCCATTTTAATCCCAGAGTGTTTCTTGAACAGTGAGCATTCTCTTTTCCCCTTGAACAAGTGGATGAGAAAATCAACAAATTAAAAATCTCATCTTGGGGTTGAGGTTTCCTTCAAGTCTTTGTTCCTCATTGATGAAAACTTAGCCTGAAGAGCTCTTCTTGTAATCCTGTAACAGCAGCTGATTACTAATGGAAATTAGTGTTAATTATATAAACACTTTGGAAATTAATACAGGGCACTTTTCCATTTAACTCAGAATTTTCATTTGTATGAAAAAGACTGATTATGGGGAAAATGAAAAAACTTTACTGAAAGATATTAAGGAATATTTAAATAAATGAGATAAATTCCATGCAGATAAATTCCATGTTTATGACCAAGAAGATGCGATGCCATAAAGGTGTTAATTTTCCCAAAATGGAGTTATAAATTCAATGCAATGCCAAGAAGAATTCCAATAAGGTTATCCTGGAACCTGGCAAGCTGATTTGAAAATTTACATGGAAGAGTAAAAAGCCAAGAATAGCCAAGACACTCTTTTTTGTTTTTTGTTTTTTGTGTTTTTTTTTTTTGGACAAATAGATTCATTCATTTATTGTATTTATTCATTCAACAAATATTTTGGGAACACTCACCAAGTGTTAGGTGCTCTGCTAGCTTCAATTAATAGAACACTGAATGCTGTATAAGAACTGTTTCTTATTTTATTTCAATAGTTTTGGGGGAACAGGTGGTTTTTGGTTACATGGATAAGTTATTTAATGGTAATTTCTGAGATATTGGTGCACCTGTCACTTGAACATTATACACTGTGCCCAATGTGTAGTCTCTTATCTCTCACCCTCTTCCCCCACCTGCTCCCCCTAAGTCCTCCACATCCATTTCATAGTTCTTTTTCTTTTTTTGTCATACAAAGTTTATTTACAGCAAATCACTGACTATCATAACTTCATATCTGCAATCTATTAGCTATCAAATATCTTAGCTACAGTGAGCCTTGATTTCCTCATCTTTAAATTGGGATTCTGCAGGGGATAATTCTTAAATTTTGCATTTTATGTTCTCTTCTTGCAAAGGATGGAAACATTCTGTTTATTTAGAATTTTCCTCCACATTATTTTTAGTGCTACAGTCTAGAAATTAGTCTAAATACCTATCTATTGTCCATTACATAATTCTTATGCCTTTGTGTCCTCATAGCTTAGCTCCCATATATAAGTGAGAATATGTGATACTTGGTTTTCCATTCTTGAGCTACTTCACTTAGAATAATGGTCTCCAATTCCATCTAGGTTGCTGTGAATGCCATTATTTCATTCCTTTTTATGGCTGAGTAATATTCCATGATGTATATATACCACATTTTCTCAATCCACTCATTGGTCAATGGGCATTTAGGCTGGTCCCATATTTTTGCAATTGTGAATTGTGCTGCCATATATGTGTGTGCAAGTGTCTTTTTTATATAATGACTTATTTCCTTTGGGTAGATACCCAGTAGCTGGATTACTGGGTCAAATAGTAGTTCTACCTTCAGTTCTTTAAGGAATATCCATGCTGTTTTCCATAGTGGTTGTACTAGTTTACATTCCCACCAGCAGTGTAAAAGTGTTCTCTTTTCACCACATCCAAGCCAACACCTATTTCTTTTATGTTTTAATTATGGCCATTCTTGCAGGAGTAACGTGTTATCTCACTGTGGTTTTAATTTGCATTTCCCTGATAATTAGTGACATCGAGCATTTTTTTCACATGTTTGTTGGCCATTTGTATATCTTCTTTTGATAACTGTCTATTCATGTCCTTTGCCCACTTTTCAATGGGATTATTTGTTTTTTTCTTGCTGATTTGTTGAGTTCCTTGTAGATTCTGGATATTAGTCCTTTGTCAATGATGCATAGTTTGTGAATATTTTCTTCCATTCTGTGGATTGTCTGTTTACTCTACTGACTATTTCTTTTGCTGTGCAGAAGCCTTTTAGTTTAAGTAGGTCCCATCTATTTATTTTTATTTTTGTTGCATTTGCTTTTGGGTTCTTCACCATAAACTCTTTTCCTAAGTCAATGTCTGGAAGAGTTTTTCTAATGTTATCTTCTAGAATTTTTATAGTTTCAGGTCTAAGATTTAAGTCTTTGATCCCTCTTTAGTTAATTGTTGTACAGGGTGAGAGATGAGGGTCCAGTTTCATTCTTCTACATGTGGTTTGCCAATTATCCCAGGATCATTTGTTGAATAGGGTGTCCCTCCCCCACTTTATGTTTTTGTTTGCTTTTGTCAAAGACCAGTTGGCTGTAAGTATTTGGCTTTATTTTTGGTTTCTTTATTCTGTTTCCTTGGCCTATGTGCTTATTTTTATACAAGTACTATGCTGTTTTGGTAACCATAGCCTTGTAGTATAGTTTGAAGTCAAGTAATGTGATGCCTCTAGATTTGTTTTTTTGCTTAGTCTTGCTTTGGCTATGTGAGCCTTTTTTTTTTTTTTTTTTTTGGTTCCATATGAATTTTAAGATTGTTTTTTCTAGTTCGTGAAGAATTATGATAGTACTTTGATGGAAATTCCATCGAATCTGTACATTGCTTTTGACAGTATGGTCATTTTGACAATATTGAGTCTACATATCCATGAACATAGGATGTGTTTCCATTTGTTTGGGTCATTGATGATTTCTTTCAGCAGTGTTTTATAGTTTTCCTTGTAGAGATCTTTCACCTCCTTGGTTAGGTATATTCCTAAGTAATTTTTTTTTTTTTAGCAGCTGTTGTAAAAGGGATTGAGTTCTTGATTTGTTTCTCAGCTTGGTCATTGTTGGCGTATAGCAGTGCTACTGATATGTGTACATTGATTTTGTATCCTGAAACTTTATCGAATTTATCAGATGTAGGAGCTTTTTGGATGAGTCTTTAAGGTTTATTTGGTATATGATCCTATCTTTGGTGAACAGCGACAGTTTGACTTCCTTTTTATCAATTTGGATGCCATTTATTTCTTTCTCTTGTCTGATTGTTCTGGCTAGGACTTCCAATACTGTGTTGAAGACAAGTTTTGAAAGTGGGCATCCTTGTCTTGTTCCAATTCTTAGGGGGAATGCTTTCAACTTTTCCCAGTTTAGTATAATGTTGGCTGTGGGTTTGTCATAGGTGGCTTTTATTACTTTGAGGTATATTCCCTGTATGCCATTTTTTGCTGAGGGTTTTCATCATAAAGGAAAGCTGGATTTTGTCAAATCCTTTTTCTGTATCTATTGAGATGATCACATGGTTTTTGTTTTTAATTTCCTTTATGTGATGCATCGCATTTATTGACTTGCTTATGTTAAATCATCCCTGGATCCCTGATATGAAACCCACTTGATCATGGTGTATTCTCTTTTTGATATGTTGGATTCATTTATTTAGTATTTTGTTGAGGATTTTTGCATCCATGTTCATCAGGGATATTGGTCTGTAGTTTTCTGTTTTGTTTTGTTTTTTCTATGTCCTTTCCTGGTTTTGGTATTAGGGTGATACTGGCTTCATAGAATAATTTAAAGAGGATTCCTTCTTTATCTTTTGGAATAGTTTCATCAAGATTGGTACCAATTCTTCTTTGAATGTCTGATAGAATTTAGCTGTGAATCCATCTGGTCCTGGACTTTTTTTGTTGTTGGCAATTTAAATTTGCTGTTTTAAAATTACCGTTTCAATCTTGCTACTTGTTATTGGTGTGTTCATGTTTTCTACTTTTTCCTGACTTAATCTAGGAGGCTTGTATATTTCCAGGAATTTATCCATCTCCTCTAAATTTTCTGGTTTGTGCATGTAAAGGTGTTCATAGTAACCTTAAATGATCTTTTGTATTTCTGTGATATCAGTTGTAATATCTCCCATTTCATTTCTAATTGAGCTTATTTGGATCTTCTCTCTTTTCTTCTTGGTTAATCTCACTAATGGTCTATTAATTTGGTTTATATTTTCAAAGAACCAGCTTTTTGTTTTATTTATCTTTTGTATTTTTTGTTTCAATTTTATTTAGTTCTGCTCTGACCTTTTTATTTCTTTTCTTCTGCTGGGTTTGGGTTTGGTTTGTTCTTGTTTCTCTAGTTCCTTGAGGTATGACCTTAGATTATCTATTTACACTCTTTCAGACTTTTTTAATATAGGCATTTAATGCTATGAACTTTCCTTGTAGCACTGCTTTTGCTCTATTCCAAAGATTTTGCTAAGTTTTGCCACTATTATCATTCAGCTCAAAGAATTTTTAAATTACCATCTTGATTTTATTGTTAACCCAAAGATCATTCAAGAGCAGACTTAAAAGTTTTTTATGCATTTGTATAGTTGTGAAGGTTCCTTTTGGAGTTACTTTGCAGTTTTATTCTACTGTTGTTTGAGAGGATACTTGATATAATTTTAATTTTCTTAAATTTATTGAGACTTGTTTTGTGACCTATTATGTGGTATATCTTGGAGAATGTCCCAAATGCTGATGAAAAGAATGTATATTCTGCAGTTGTTGGGTAGCATGTTCTGTAAATATCTGTTAAGTCCATTAGTTCTAGGGTATAGTTTAGGTACATTGTTTCTTTGTTGACCTTCTCTCTTGATGACCTGTTTAGTGTTGTCAGTGGAGCATTGAAGTCCCCCACTATTATTATGTTGCTGTCTATCCCATTTCTTAGGTCTAGTAGTAATTGTTTTGTAAATTTGCTAGCTCCAATGTTAGGTGCATATATATTTAGGATTGTAATTTTTCCTGTTGGACTAATCGTTTTATTATTATGTTATGTTTCTTGTCTATTTTTACGTTGTTGCTTTAAAGTCTGTTTTGTCTGATATAAGAATAGCTACTCCTGCTCACTTTTGGTTTCCATTTGTGTGGAATATCTTTTTCTACCCCTTTACCTTAAGTTTATGTGAGTCCTTATGTGTTAGATGAGTCTCTTGAAGACAGTGGATACTTGGTTGGTAGATTTTTATCCATTCTACCATCCCGTATCTTTTAAGTGGAGCATTTAGGCCATTTACATTCAACATTACTATTGAGACGTGAGGTACTATTCTATTCATCATGCTCGTTGTTGCCTTAATACCTTTTTTGTCATTGTGGTTTTTTTTATAGGCCCTGTGAGATTTATGCTTTAAGGAGGTTCTATTTTGGTGTATTTCAAGGTTTCATCTCAAGATTTAGAATTCCTTTTAGCATTTCTTGTAGTGCTGACTTAGTAGTGGCAAATTCTCTCAGAATTTTTTTGTCTGAAAAATACTTTATCTCTCCTTCATTTATGAAGCTTAGTTTTGATGGATACAAAATTCTTGGCTAGCAATTATTTTATTTCAAAAGGCTAATGATGGGACCCTGATCCCTTCTGGCTTGTAAGATTTCTGCTGAGAAATCTGCTGTTAATCTGGTAAGTTTTCCTTTGTAGGCTACTTGATGCTTTTGTCTCACAGCTCTAAAGATTCTTTCCTTTGTCTTGACTTTAGGTAACCCTATGACCATGTGCCTAGGTGACGATCTTTTTGTGATGAATTTCCCAGATGTTCTTTGAGCTTCTCATACTTGAATGTCTAGATCTCTAGCAAGGCCAGGGAAGTTTTCCTCAATTATTCCCTCAAATAAGTTTTCCAAACTTTTAGGTTTCTCTTTTTCCTCAGGGACACCAATCATTCTTAGGTTTGGCCATTTAACATAATCCCTAATTTCTTGGAAGCTATTTTTTTTTTTTTCATTTTTCTTTGTCATTGTCTAATTTGAAAGCCTTTTCTTCAAGCTCTAAAGTTCTTTCTTCTACTTGTTCTAGTATATTGTCGAAACTTTCCACTCCATTTTGTATTTCTCTAACTGTGTCTTTCATTTCTAGAAGTTGTGATTGTTTTTTTCTTTATCATATATATTTCTAAGGAGAATTTTTCATCCATATACTGTATGTTTTTTTAATTTCTTTTAATTGATTTTCACCTTTCTCTGATATCTCCTTGAGGAGCTTAATAATCAACCTTCTGAATTCTTTACCTGGCAATTCAGAGATTTCTTTTTGGTTTGGATCTACTGCTGGGGAGCTGGTGTGATCTTGTGAGAGTGTTACAGAACCTTGTTTTGTCATATTACCGGAACTACTTTTCTGGTTCCTTTTCATCTAGGAAGACTATTTCAGTGGAATGGTCTCCAAATCAAGACCTGCTGTTTAGATTATCTTGTCTTGTGGGGCAATCCCTTGATGTGGTGTTCTCCTCTTTCCCCTAGGAATGGGGCTTCCTGAGAGCTGGACTGCAGTGATTGTTATTGTTCTTCTGGGTCTAGTGGGGCTGGTAGTGGGGCTACCAGGATCTGGGCTGGTACTAGGGAATGTCTGCAAAGAGTCCTTTGATGTGATCCAACTTCAGGTCTCTCAGCCATGGATACAAGCACCTGTTCTGGTGAAGGTGGCAGGGAAGTGAAGTATACTCTGTGAGTCCTTGGTTGTAGAAAGATTTAGTCTGCTAGCTTTCTCAGATACTGGTTATGCTAGCAGTGAAGTTGTCATGTGGACACACTCAGGACCTCTGGTTAGCCAGGATGCTGCAGGTGGTGGAATTAATTGTTGTCTTCTCCTTCCTGGGATCAGGATTATTCAGTCATGAGTTGCTGTGATGGTCCGTGTTTGTTGGCCTCCAGCCAGGAGGTGGCATTTTGAAGAGTGTACCAGCTGCAGTAGTAGTAGGGGGATCTAAGCTTGCCCTAAGTTGGCCAGGATAAATATTTTGGTTTCTCAGGTGATGGGTGGGGCCATAAAGCTCCCAAGAGTTTCTTTCTTTTTTCTTTTTCTTTTTTTTCTTTCTTTTCTTTTCTTTTTTTTTTCTTTTTTTTTTTTTTTTGTGACAGTCTTGCACTGTCGCCTGGGCTGGTTCAGAAGCATGTAGTTTAATGTCCATGTATTTGTGTGTTTTCCAAGACTCCTTCTGTTATTGATTTCTAGTTTTATTTCTATTATGGTTAGAAAAGATACTTGATATTATTTCAGTCTTTTAAAGTTTGTTAAGACTTGTTTGTGGCCTAACATATGATCTAGCCTAGAGAATTCTTTGTAGGTGCTAGAGAAGAATGTGCATTCTTTTGCAGTTGGATAGAGAGTTCTATATATGTCTGTTAGATCCATCTGGTCTAAAGTGTTGTTCAAATCCGCTATTTCCCTATTGATTTTCTGTCTGGATGATCTGTTCACTGTTGAAAGTGGAGTATTTAACTCTCCTAGTATTGTTATATTGTAGTCTATCTCATCCTTCAGATCTATTAATATTGCTTTATATGTTTATGTGCTCCAATGTTAGGTGCATATATATTTAAAGTTGTTATGTCCTCTTTATGAATGAATACCTTTATCATAGTATAATAACCTTCTTCATCTCTTTATACAGTTTTTGACTTAAAGTTTATTTTGTCTGATACAAATATAGCCACCCCTGCTCTTTTTTGGTTACCATTTGACTGAACTATCTTTTGTCATCCTTTCACTCTCAAACTATGTGTGTCTTTAAGATTAAAATGAATCTCTTACAGGCAGCATATTATTGGATCTTAATTCATCCGGCCACTCTGTGTCTTTTAATTGGAGAATTTAACCTATTTACATATAAAGTGGTTATTGATAGGTAAGAACTTGCTACTGGCATTTTGTTAATTTTTTACTAGCTAGTTTATATTTCTCTTATTCCTCACTTCCAATCACTTTCTTTGCAATTTGTTGTATTTTTATAGTGGTATGACTTGATTCTTTTCTCTTTATTTCATTTTTATTTTTGAGACAGAGTCTTGCTCAGTGGCCCAGGCTGGAGTGCAGTGGCACGATCTCAGCTCACTGCAATATCCACCTCCTGGGTTCAAGCAATTCTTGTGCCTCAGCCTCCCAAGAAGCTGGGATTACAGGCATGTGCCACCACACCTGGCTAGTTTTCGTATTTTTGTTTTTTTTTTAGTAGAAACGGGTTTCACCATGTTTGCCAGGCTGGTCTTGAACTCCCGGCCTCAAGCAATCCTCCCATCTTGGCCTGCCAAACTGTTGGGATTACAGGTGTGAGCCACCATGCCTGGCCTTCTCTTTATTTTTTAACATCTTATAGTTATAATGTCCTAATTTAAGCTAATAGTTCCTTAACTTCAGTAGCATACAAAGGCTCTACAATTATACTTCTCCTTCTCCCCACATTTTATGCTATTAGTATCATCTATTTATATTATGTATTCATTAACCAATTTTTTTACAGCTCTAGTTTTTTAAATCAATTTGTCTTTTAACTTTTTAAATTAATTTGTCTAGAATTATGACTGATTCATATTTCCCTTACAGTATTCAGAATTTGAGTATGTTTACCTTTACCAGTGAGTTTCATACTTTCATATGTTTTCATAGTTATCCTTTTATTTCAAATAACTCCTTTTAGCATTTCTTGTAAGGCAGGTCTTGTGTTGATAAACTTCTTCAGGTTTTGTAAGTCTTGGAATATTTGTATCTCTCCTTCATTTCTTTTTTTCCTCTTCCTTTCTTTTAGAGACAGGGGCTCATTCTGTCACCCTGGCTAGAGGGCAGTGGTGCAATCATAGCTCATTGCAACCTCAAACACCTGGGTTCAAGCTATCCTCCTGCCTCAGCCTCTTGAATAGCTAGGACTGCAGCTGTGCACCACCATGGCTGGCTAATTTTAAAATTATTTTTTGCAGAGACAAGGTTTTACTATGTTGCCCAGGCTGGTCTTGAATTCCTGGACGCAAGCAATTCTCTTACCTCCCAAAGTACAGGACCACAATTGGCAGGACTGCAGCCTGGGTGTGTGTCTGCAGTTTCAAAATGACCCTCTCAGGTTTTGAGCTTCATCAAGATTTTATAACCTCTACCTAAATCCCATGGTTCCTGCGAAAAGACTTTTGTCTGCGGATAGGTGGAGAATTGTTGTGGTTTGTGGGGGGATGTGAGCGAGTGACTTCTTATTCCATTATCTTGGTAATATCACTTCCTATTTCTTTAAGTGCTAGGTAGAATTCAGCTATGAAACCCTTCAAATCTGGGCTTTTCTTTGTTAGGAAGTTTTTGATTACCGATTCAGTCTCCTTACTAGTTATTGGTCTGTTTAGATTTTTCTATTTCCTCATGATTTTGTCTGGTAGGTTGTACATTTTCTGGAATGTATCAATTTCTTCTAGGTTATTCAATTTGCTGGTGTAAAGAATATCTATACCTGTAATGGAATAGTCTTCATCTATAAAAAAGAAGAAAATCCTGCCATTTGCAGCAACATGGAAAAACCTGGAGAATAGTACACTAAACGGAATAAGCCAGACATAGAAAGACAAATATTGTATGATCTCACTTACATGTGAAATCTAAAAGTCAAACTTATATAAGCAAAGAGTAGGACTGTGGTTTCCAGGGGCAGGGAGGTATGAAAAATGGGAAGATGTTGATCAAGGGGTATAAACTTGAAGTTATAAGGTGAATAAATTCTGTTGATCTAATGTACAGCGTGGTGACTATAGTTGTATTGTTTGCTTGAAATATGATAAAAGAGCAGTTTTTATGTGCCTTCACAACACACACACACACACACAAAATGCACACATACACATAGTAACTCTAGGTGGTGATGGATATGTTAAGTAGTTTGATTGTGGTAAGCATTACACAATGTATACATACATCAAATCATGCTGTACACCTGGTATATATACAATTTTTATTTGTCAATCAAATATTTAAAAAGAAAAGAAAAGAAAAGCAGGAGGATTTCTGCTTCTGGGAAGATGTAGATGTACTTTTCCCAAGGAATGATAGGAGGTGAGTTCTCTGTCCTGGTTTTGTTTGTTTTTTGCTTCATACATCTCAGACTGGAAGGCAAAGAAGCTAGCAGCCTGGAAATGTCAATGGATGCAGACAGAAAAAAAAAGTCCAAGTGAAGTCTGCTCTCTCCAGCCAAAGGACCAGGAAAGCTTAGAAATACAGACATATTTTAGAGAATAACTGTTCTACTCTAGCCAAACACCACAAAAAGTATGGCCCCATTCCCAGCCCTGCCAACAAATGTTGAGTGGAGGGCCTACACTTTCAGCCTTGCCAGGCTATAAAATGACTCCCCATACCTCCTGGACAAGATGCTGTCAGAATAGATTGAGTAGGTAGCCCAGACTTTCCTCTCCACTGGGAAATAATGAGGTGATTCTTTATACCACAGCGTCAATGGAAAGCACTTGGAAAGCCTGGGTACCTCCTCCACCTGGCAGTAATAAGGCTGCCCTCCCCTTATCAGGTATCAGTAGAGATCAGGTGGGGAATCTGGCCTTCTACCCACAGGTAAAAGTAATGAGGCGGCGCTCTTCTCCTCTTCCCTGCTGGAGCAGCGTCAGAAGCCAACTAAAACAGGAGTTTTAAATAAGACCCAGAGTTTCAAAATGTTCAGATTTCAGTAGAAAAATCACTCATCATGCCAAGACCAAGAATGACCCGAAGCTGAATTTTAAAAAGACAATCAATTAGCCAGGCGCAGTGGCTCATGTCTGTAACCCCAGCACTTTGGGAAGCCCAGGAGGGTGGATTACTTGAGGACAGGAGTTCGAGACCAGCCTGGCCAACATGGCGAAACCCCATCTCAACTAAAAAAAAAAAATTGCAGAAATTAACAGGGCGTGGTGGTGCGCGACTGTAATCCCAGCCACTAGGGAGGCTGAAGCAGGAGAATCGCTTGAGCCTGGGAGGTGGAGGTTCCAGTGAGCTGAGATTATGCCACTGCACTCCAGCCTGGGTGATAGAGTGAGACTCCATCTCAAAGAAAAAAGACAATCAATTGATGCCTACACTGAGATTATAGAGATATTAAAATGATCTGACAAAGATTTTAAAGCAGTCATTAGACAAATGCTTCAGTAAGCAATTATGAACGTACTTAAAAAAGGTTTTTAAAAAAGATTTTAGAAAAGAAATAGAATATATAAAAAAGAACCAAATAGAGATTTCAGAAGTGAAAATACAATAATCAGAATAAAAAACTCAGTGGATGGGTTTAACATCTGAATAGAGGGGAGAGATGAAAGAATCGTAAATGATCTGGAAGATAGAACAACAGAAATGACCCAATCTGAACAAAAGAGAGAAAATAGACTTAAAAACTTAGAAACTCAGAGACTTGTATGATTATAACAAAATAGGTAACATTTATGTCACTGGAGTACCAGAAATAAAGGAAAAAGTGAGTGGGGCTGAAAAAGTAAATGAAGAAGTAATGACTGAAAACTTCCTAAGGTTGCCAAAAGACATAAACCTATAAATTCAAGTTTAAGTAAACCCCAGACAGGATAAACTCAAAGAAATTCACACTAAGACACATTATAAGCAAGCTTCTGAAAACTAAATATAAAGAAAATAATCTTGGAAAGCAGCAAGAGAGAAATTACACCTTACGTACAGAGGAAAAACCCATTATGACAGATTTCTCATTAAAAAAAACATGCAAGTCAAGAGGAAGTGATACAATATTTTTCAATTACTGAAAGAAAAGAAATGTCAACACAGAATCCTACATCCAGTGAAAACTTACTTCCAAAATGAAGGGAAAACCAAAGCATTCTCAGATAGAAGAAAAAAAAAAAAAGAGAATTTGTCACTAGCAGACCTACCCTAAAAGAATGCTAAATCAGTTATCTAAACAGAAATAAAATGATAAAATAGAAATCACGGTATATTGGGGGAAAGAAAACAAGGTAAGCAAAAGTGTAGATAATTACAATAGACTTTCATTCTTCTCTTGAGTTTTAAAAATTTTATTTGACATTTGAAGCAAAAATTATAACACTATCTGATGTGGTTCTAAATGTACATAGTGCAAATATTTAATTTTTACCCTCTCTAATGATAATTATATTGTATTATCATTAGGGAGGGTAAAAAGACATGAATTATCATTAGGGAGGGTAAAGAGACATGAAGGGAGGTAAGGTTACTACATTTCACTGGAACTGGTAAAATGATAGCTGTGATAAATTATGTATATATAATATAATACCTAGAGGAACACTAAAAAATTGATTCAAAGTGATACACCCAAAGCCACTATAGGTAAATCAAAACAGAATTCTAAAAAATGTCCAAGTAACATACAGAAAGATAGCAATATATCAAAAGAATTATACACCAAGCGGAGTTTACTCCAGGAGCACAAAGCTAGTTCAATGTTTGAAATCAGTATTAACCACCATAGGCTGGATGTAGTGGCATGCGTTCATAGTCCCAGCTACTGAAGAGGCTGAGGTGGGAGGATCTCTTAAGCCTAAGAATTTGAGTCTAGCCTGGGCAACATAGCAAGCTCTCATCTCAAAAAACAAAATCGACCACCGTATTAACAGGTTAAAGAAGAAAAGCCATATGATCATATCAATTAATGCAGAAGTATTAGATAAAATTCAACACTCATTCATGATAAAAACTCTTAGAAAAATAGTAATAGAGGGGAACTTTCTCAACTTAATAAAAAGCATCTATAAAAACCTAGAGCTAACATTACACTTAATGATGAAAGACTGAATGCTTTCTTCATAAGACTGGGAATAAGGCAAGGATGTGTGCTCTCACCAGTCTTATTAAACATAGTGCTAGAAGTTCTAGCCAGAGCAATAAAGCAAGGAAAGGAAATAAATGACATTCAAAACCAGAAAGAAGAAATAAAATGATCTCAATTTTCAGATAACGTGATGGCTTTCTTCAGAAATCACAAGGAATATACAAAGATACTCTTGAAACTAATAAGTGAGTTTAGCAAGGTTGCAGGATACAAGAGAAATATACAAAAATCAGCAGCATTTCTATATACTAGCAATTAACATGTGGGTACCAGAATGGTACCAATGCCATTTACAATCCCTCAAAAAATGCTTAGGTGGAAACCTAACAAAACATGTACAAGACTTGTATGCTGAGAACTAGACAACATTGCCCAAAGAAGAGTTCTATACAAATGGACATATTATATTCATAGTTTGGAAGGCTCAACAGAGTGAAGGTGTTAATCCTCCTTAAATTGAAAGGTTTAACACAATTCTTATCAAAATCCATGAAGGATTTTAAAAAATAGATATAGATAAGTTTATTCTAAATTTTATATAAAAGGACAAAAGAACTAAAATATCTCAAACAGTTCTGAAAATGAAAAATAAAACAGTAAGAAACAGTCTACCTGATTCCAAGGTATCTTAGTCAGTTTGGGATGCTATTACAAAGTATCATAGACTGGGTGGCTTATAAACAACAAACATTTATTTCTCATGGTTCTGGATGCTGTACATCTGAGATCAGGGTGTCACCATGACTCTGCTCTGGTGAGGGCCCTCTTCCTAGTTGCAGACTGCTATCTTCTCACTGTACTTTCCCATGGTGGAAAGAGGGCAAGAGAGCTCTCTGGGGTACCTTTTATAGGGCACTAACACATTCATGAGGGCTTCGTCCTCATGACTTATCTCCCAAAGCCCTCACCTCCTCATACCATTACACTGGAGGTTAGGATTTCAACATGAATTTTGGCGGGTACACAAGCATTCCATATGTTGCAGAAAGCTTACTGTGTAATTACAGTTAATTAAGACTATGTCATATTGGTAGAGAGATAAACATATAGATCAATGGAGCAGAATAGGGAACTCAGAAATAACCCCAAACAGTTAGAGTCAAGTGATTTTTAACAATGATCCAAAAGCAATTTAACAGAGGAAGGAAAGCCTTTTTAATAAATAGTGCTGGAGTAATTGGACGTCCATAGGCACAAAATAAGCCTTGACCAAAGTCTTACATCTAACACAAAAATGAACTCAAATAGATCATGTAAATGTAAAATGCAAAACTATATAATTTTAGAGAAAAAGGAGAAAATATTGTGAATTCAGAGCTAGACTTGATACCAAAAATACAATCTATAAAGTTAAAAATTGATAAATTTTACCTCTTTGAAATTAATAACTTTTGCTCTGCAAAAGACCTGTTAAGAGTATGAAAAGACAAACTAGAAACTAGAAGAAAATAATTGCAAAACAACATACCTAGCAAAGGATTAATATCTAGAAAATATAAAGAACTATCAATCACAACAGTAAAACAAAACCCAAAAAATCCTATTAGAAAATAGGAAAAAGACATGAAGGAACATTTCACCAAAGAGGACCTACAAATAAGAGGATAACAAATTTCATTTCACCAAAGAGGATAACAAATAAGACAAGAAAACGTGTTAAACGTCAGTACCAATGGTGTTGCAGTAGATAACGCAGTAGACGATGTCAGTTACTACATATCTATCAGAATGCTTAAAATAGTGATGACACCAAATACTGGTGAGGATTTGGAGAGACTAGATCATTCAGACATTGCTATTGGGAATATAAAGTAGTATATTCACTATGGAAAGCAGTTTGGCCAGTTTTCTGAAATCTAAATACTAAACTAGCACACAACCTAGTAATTGCACTCCTGGGCATTTATGAGAAATGAGCACTTATGTTCATACCAAAACCTGTACACAAATGTTCACAGAAGGTTTCTTTGTAATAGTCCTAAGCTGAAAACAACCCTGATGTCCTTCAATTAAAGGCTTAAACAAGCCGTGGTACATTCATGCCATGAATACTTCTCAGAGTAAAAAGGGGTAGCAATTCAAGAAACAACAGATGCTGGCAAGGTTGGAGAGGAACAGGAATGCTTTTACACTGTTGACAGGAATGTAAATTAGTCCAACCATTGTGGAAGACAGTGTGGCGATTCCTCAAAGATCTAGAATCAGAAATACTATTTGACCCAGCAATCCCATTACTGGATATACACCCAAAGGAATATAAATCATTCTATTATGAAGGTACATGCATGTGTATGTTCATTGCAGCACTACTCACAATAGCAAAGACATGGAATCGACCCAAATGCCTGTCAATGATAGACTGGATAAAGAAAATATGGTACATATACACCATGGAATACTATGCAGCCATAAAAAGGAATGAGGTCATGTCCTTTGCAGGGACATGGATGGAGCTTGAAGCCATTATCCTGCAAACTAATGCAGGAACAGAAAACCAAACACCACTTGTTCTCACTTACAAGTGGGAGCTGAACAATGAGAACACATGGACACTGGTGTAGGGGGCACAACCCACACTGGGGCTTGTGTGGGGGTGGGGGAGGGAGAGCATCAGGAAAAATAGCTAATGCATGCTGGGTTTAATACCTAGGTGATGGGTTGATCTCTGCAGCAAACCACCATGGCACACGTTTACCTTTGTAACAAACCTGCACACCCTGCACATACACTGAGAACTTAAAAGTTGAAAAAAAAAAAAAAAGGGTGACAATTGATACACTACAATGGCCTGGATGAATCTCCAGAGAATTATGCCAAGTGAAAAAAGCCAATCCTAAGAAGTGACATACTGTACAATTCTACTTACATAGCATTCTTGAAATGACAAAATTGTAGAATAGATTAGTGGTTTTCAGGGATTAAAGCGGGGGTAAGGATGGAAGGAATGTGGGTGGGCCTATAAAAGGGCACCATGAGGGATTCTTGTGGTGGTGAAATGTTCTGTATCTTGACTGTATCAATGTCAATATCCTGATTGTGATATTGTACTATAGTTTTTCAAAATGTTATTATAGGGTGAAACCAGCTAAAGGATATATTGAATCTATCATTCCTTGCAACTTCATGTGAATCTACAATTATTTCAATATAAAAATTTAATTTAAAAAGCCGTGTTGGCCGGGCGCGGTAGCATACACCTGTAATCCCAGCACTTTGGGAAGTCAAGTGGGGGCAGATCACCTGAGGTTAGGAGTTCAAGACCAGCCTGCCAACATGGCGAAACCCCATCTCTACTAAAAATAGAAATATTAGCTGGGTGTGGTGGCATGCGCCTGTAATACCAGCTACTAGGGAAGCTGAGGCAGGAGAATCTCTTGAACCAGGGAGGCGGAGGTTGCAGTGAGCTGAGATTGTGCCATTGCACTCCAGCCAGGGCTACAGGGCGAGACTCCGTCTCAAAAAATAAATAAATAAATAAATTTAAATAAAAAGCAGTGCCATTATCTATTTTAAAATATTTTTAACTCTGTATTTAATTGCCTTGAACCTATAGGTAATGTTACACAAATGCAAAGTACAGTGTTTTTTTTTTATTTTTTTGAGACAGAGTCTCACACTGTCACCCAGGCTGGAGTGCAGTGGCTTGATCTCAGCTCACTGCAACCTCCACCCACCACCGGTTCAAGTGATTCTCCTGCCTCAGCCTCCGGAGTAGCTGGGACTACAGGCACGTGCCACCATGCCCAGCTAATCTTTTTTGAATTTTTAGTAGAGACGGGGTTTCACAATGTTGGCCAAGTTGGTCTCGATCTCTTGACCTCATGATCCACCTGCCTCAGCCTCCCAAAGTTCTGGGATTACAGGTGTGAGCCACTGGCACCCAGCACCCCCACTTTTTTTTTCTTTCTTTTTACTTGACCCATCTTTACCCACATCACCCCCACCATTAATTGTTTTTAAAGCCTTCTATGGCAAAAATGAGTGGTAGACCATTTTAGTAAATAAACGACAGATTTTGAAAAATATCAGTAATGCAGATGGCAGAGTTAATAGCTTTAATGTTAAAAGAGATTTTACAGATTCACGAGGGAAAGACCAATTACCCAATGGAAAAAAAAATGGACAAGATTTGAAGAGATGATTCACAGAAGAGCAAATTCAAATGGTCAATCTACATGTGACAAACTCACCAGCAGCAGAGAAATGCAAATTGAAGTAACAATGAATATTATGTTATACCCATGAGACTTGCAAAAAAAAGAGAAAAAAGGATATCACTTGCAGGGATGGGAGGGCAGAAGGCAGTTTCGCTTCTTGCTATGGAAAATGTGAATTATAAATAGCAATCTGGCAACATCTTTTATAAATTCATTGAACCATGCATGTAAAAATTGTGCACTTTGCTGTTTGTAAATTATATCTGAATAAAAGTAAACAAAAATTAAAAAAATACATCTACCCTTGCTGCAGTAGTACCGTCTTGGAAATCTATCCCAGGAACTAAAACCACTGTCAATGCATAAAGACATTGATACAGAGATACTTATTACAACATTGTTTATTGTGCTGAAAGAAATAGAGAATAAAGAATGTCCGTAAATGGAGGCATGCTTGAATATGGTATAACCACATCATGGGATATTATGCAGCCATTAAAAATATATCAGTTACACCGATGACTTGGAGGCATTTTCCCAAGCATTGTTGAGTAAGAAAAGCTAGCTGTAGAAAAGCATGAATAACGTGGTTCCATTTTTATAAAGTAATTGCTAAGGAATGCTGTACATACGTGTATGTGTCTGTTTATATATGCACATGTATATGTTATTGAATTTCTTTTCCCACACTCATTAACAGTTGAGAGGATTATCAAGTTCAGCCTCCCAGAGAGAGTAAAGATTTATCCAGACATGCTTCCATTTCCCGTACTGTGCATATATATATACCAACTGCATTTGGGGACCTGGAGAAGTAGCCCCACTGGCCCATCAGTATACTCTCTAGGCTTGCAGGATTCACGAGTTAAGGAAACATCCTTTGGAAGCACACTTTTGGTTAACACCACCCACTTCCTTGTGGATTAACTGTGACAGTTTCAGTGACATAATATCACCCACAAACAGCAGAGGACTCAAATGGAATCATGTTGCTAAATTGTCTACCCACCACTCTCTCCTCCTGGTAACTGTTTTCACTGTTTCTTTATGTAGCCACCTCCTTTCTCAACCTCACTTAAAAGGTATTTCGTTTCTATTTAAAGTTGTTTTCAAATGTTTTGAATATGCTGGGGAAATAATATAATAAGTACATGCAACGTCTGTTGAGTCTGGCACATGGTGAGTGTTATACACATTAGGCTCTGATAGGCAGTTGGAGGAGGGGCACACAGGGGAGAGGAAGAAGCAGAAAGAGGCCAAAAGCTGGAACCACTGTTGTGGAAGGAGGAGATGCTCCCTATCCCTTTCCCACAGTCCTCTCAGGCTGACGGTGCTCTTCCTTGCGTTTTATTCTTATGGGGAGGCCTGGGAACAGAGGCCAACTTTCTCTTCCCCTTAGGGAGAACACTGTTAATATCAGGAAAATAAAAAGATTATTTACATTAAAAATAATTCAAAATTATTATAAAATTAATTAAAGTACCACTGCACACCTATAAGAATGGCCAAAACCCAGAACTCTGACAACATCAAATGGGGGCAACATTGTGGAGCCAACAGGAACTCTCATTCATTGCTGGTGGAAATGCAAAATGGTACAGCCACTTTGGATGACAGTTCGGCAGCTTATTGCAAAATGAAACATACTCTTACCATAGGATCCAGCAATCGCACTCCCTGTTATCTACCTAAAGGAGGTAAAAAATTATGTCCACACTTAATTATGCCTGTGGATGTTTATAGCAGCTTGATTCATAATTTCCAAAACTTGGAAGCAACCAAGATGTCCTTCAGTATGTAAATGGATAAATAAACTGTGGTACATCCAGACAATTAAATATTATTCATTGCTTAAAAAAAAAGAGGAGCTATAAAGCAATGAAAAGACATGGAGGAAACTTAAATGCATATTATTAGAAGCCAATTTGAAAAGGCTGATTCCAATTATATGACATTCTGGAAAAGGATCACAGGGTAGGTTCATGTTTAATTTTAGCAGAGTTTGCCAGTCTTCCAAAGAGGTTGTACTGCTTTATGCTTTCATATATAAGAGTTCTGGTTGCTCTCCAGCCTCACCAATACTTGATCTCATCAGTCTTTAATTTTAGCCATTCTGGAGGGTGTGTAGACGTATCTCACTGTAGTTTTAATTTGCTGTCCCCTGATAAGTAGTGATGTAGAGCACCTTGGGAAGCATCCTAATATAGAATGTCTTTGAATGACCAGACATCTACATTTTCTTGTCTCTTTTTTTGTCCAGATGATTCATTTTAGAATATCTCTTTGAGCTAGCCTCCAGAATTGTACTACCTACAATTCAGAATTAAGGAAGACCTGTAAGATAAGTTGGCACTCCTGATATCTTCCACCTCCCACTGGTCCCCAACTTTAGGGATGTGAGTGATGAATTAAAATGAGCAAGGAATCATTAGTAGGAAAGTTGAGAATTTATAGAACAAAGACTTAGAAACTTGGAGAGCTCGAATAATACATCCGTGGATAGAGGCTTGGACATAGGAAGGATCCTGAGAGCTAGCTGTGAGATCCAGTATTGTACTCATAGTTTTTTTTTTTTTATGTACAGCACATAGACAATTTTCAAAAGACTCTTCCCCCATAAGGTTTGCCATCAAATTAATTGGCTTAATTAGTGTTTCTAAAGGAATGGGAAAGAGGTCAAGATAGTAAAACCAACAAATCCTTTACCTTAGTACATCTCATATTGTAATGTGCACAGGAATCACCTGGGGATCTCGTTAAACTGAAGATCCTGATTCTGCAGTCTGAGGGGAGAATCTGCAGCTCTAACAAGCTCTCAGGTGATGCTGATGCTGCTGGTCTGCAGAATACACTTTGAGTAGCAAGAGTCTAAAATCATTTATATATGGCATTTAAAATGTTTTTCTTAAGGAAGATCTCACTAGGGAACTTCTCAGATCCAAACATTTTTATTTGCTTTCAATTCTTTTTTTTTTTTTTTGTTACATTTGGCTAATAATGCCCTCATAGCTCTGATCATATTTAATCATGGTTAGTTGTTGTTTTAGTTTGTGTTGCTGTAAAGGAATACCTGAGGCTGGGTAAGTTATGCAAAGAAAGTCTTATCTGGCTCATGATTCTGCTGGCTGAAAGTTTGGGCATCTGATGAAAGCCTAGGCTGCTTCCCCTCATGGTGGAAGGTGAAGGGGAGCTGGGCATGTGCAGAGATCACATGGTGAGAGAGGAAGCAAGAGAGAGCAGGGGAGATGCCAGGCTCTTTTTAACAACAAGTCCTCTCAGGAACTCATAGAAGGAGAACTCACCCACCCTTGCCCCCAGGGAGGGCATTAATCTGTTCACGAGGGATCTGTCCTCCTGACCCAAACATCTCACATTAGGTCTCACCTTCAACACTGAGGATCAAATTTCAACATGAGGTCTGGAGGGGACAAATATTCAAACGACATCAAGTTGTTAAATGTCAGCTTACCACATCACGCTGAATTCATTGTTTATAGGTACTGTGTCTCATTAAATTTTGTACCCCTAGCACTTCATTCTTGGTAGGAATTTAACAAGACGTTTGGGTTAATACGGGGCCAATTAAATACATTGTGGTTGATCCATACAACAGAATATTATGTAGCATTAAATTAAAAAGGCAGATCTATACGCATTGCTGCTGGAAGAGGTTCAACTTGCCCAGCCTGGGGATAACATGGAAGTTAGCAAGAACTTCCTGGAAGTCAATTCTTAAGGATGAGTAGCCAGGGAAATAAGAGGGAATTTCTGGGAAGTCATGGAGAAGAAAGTGTATATCATCAGCTTTGTGGTGAAGATTGTTCACCCGTGCATGGGAGACAGCAGGAGAATACTTTCATGGAGAAATAAAGCAATGGGCACAAGACCCCAGAGCACCACAGGGCAGGGTAGAGAGACTGAGATGTGGCTGGAGTCACATGGAGTCCCCAGAGGGATGCTGTCTGTGTCCCGCAGCCTCTCATGCTTCCCATACTGCAGTGCACTCCACTGTCCCCTGACTACTGCCCTCTCGTTTCACCCCTCTGTAGGCTGTGAGGCCCACAGTTTCCATCCGGTGTTGAAAAATATCCTGTGTTGGGGGTGAAAATTACCGCTTCTTCATCTTTAATTCTCTTATTTGTGTTTGTAACGGGCATTATATTTCAAGGCCACAGAACTCGGAGTTGCAAAATGGAAGTTTCCTTTGTTTTCTAAAAGAATTTAATCATCTTGAACCTCTGTAGCTGACACCGTTGATGGCCCACAATGTTTCCTCAGCATTCATTATTCCAGTATATGCTAACCCTGTGGCTTCTTACTGTACCTCCTTGCCTGAGGGCTTTCTCTGGCTACTCCTGATGGGTGGGGTGGGCTGGAAGGACCAGAGAGTTAACCAGGAAGCAGACTTAGCTAATGACTGACCCAGCTTCTTCGTTCCTATTGATGGTGGGTGAGAATTCCAAGGGATGCTCTGTGCAGTCTCCCAGAGGTCTCACAGACTATGTCCCAGGTGCCCACAGCAGTATCTGCCCAGCCTTTACGGGCTGACTTTATGCCTCACTTCCCCACTCCCTTGCTAGTATTTTCTGAGACTACTTCCCAAATAAGCCGCTTGCACTCAAATCTTTGCCTCACAGTCTGCTTCTGGGGTAACCCAAACCGAGACAGCCCCCCCTTTCTACCAGAATACCTAATGCTTAATTCAGTCACTTCAGGCAAATGTAGCTATTTGCAGATTTTTCAGTCATTTCACATGTAAACTCAGTCAGCTAGGAGTTTCTTCCCTGCCTTTGTTATGTATAACCAGAATTCTGGGGGCCAGAGGAGGACAAGGGTTGTGGTGTTCACATGTAGGATGTAGACGGATTTTTGCTTATTTTCCAGTTTTCACTGTGGCACCTTGGTTGTGCCCAGTGCCTCCACTTTGTTCTCTCTGGGGAAAGTCCTCCCATATTTGGATGGTACCGAGGAGGAGAATCTGGGTGTCTATTTGCTTTGTAACCAGACTCTCGACCTCATTCTCTTTTCAGCATCACCTTCTGTTATGATGCCAATGCCTGAAACTTTCAGGGGTTCTGCTGAGCAAAGGGGGTTGCTTCTTGAATTTCCTCACTACTAGCCTTGAATTCCACTTTCTCAAGTCTACTAATTCAGCTATCCCTCTTGCTACTGCTACCAAGCTTCCAAAACATGGTGGCTGGTGCTGCCTCTCTCGCTACCTTTATTTTTGTGGTTATGCCTTTTAAAAAGTTTTGGCCAGGTGTAATGACTCACACCTGTCATCTCAGCACTTTGAGAGGATAAGGCGGGTGGATCACTTGAGGCCAGGAGTTTAAGACCAGCCTGGCCAACATGGTGAAACCCTGTCTCTACCAAAAAATACAAAAATTAGCCAGGTACAGTGGCACATACCTATAGTCCCAGCTACTCGGGAGGCTGAGGCATGAGAATCCCTTGAACCAGGGAGGTGAAGGTTGCAGTGAGCCAAGAGCACACCACTGCACTCCAGCCTGGGTGACAGAGTGAGACTCTGTCTCAAAAAAAAAAAAAAAAGTGTTGTTTGGGAAGGGTTAGGTAATAATTTGTGTGTTCAGTCCATTAGTTTAAGTTGAACTGACTTCCTCTTACCAAATAGTTTTAAAACTGTCCAATCTGGAAGTTGGCAATGTTCACAGAGTGGGTCCCCATCTCACAGAATGCTGATTGTCAGTCCTGGTCGGGCCTTCAGAATCCCCTGTGAACTTATTGAAACACAAAGACAGTTGGGCCCCATTCCCAGACGTTCTGATTTCAAGCCTGGAGTGGGACCTGGGAATCTGTGTTTTAATATGCTCTACAAATGATGCTTGCAGGTTATTGCAGTAGAGAAACTCCCTGCAGTAGAGAAACTCCATGGAGTAGAGAACTCCATGACAGATGATCAACCGGACCTTAGATCTTCATTGGCAGGCTGTGCAAATAATTAGATGATTCTGAACATTAGGAAGTGATTCAATATATGTAACTCAAATCTGTATTCAGGGAACCTCTGTCTTTCTCCCAACTTCTACTCCTTAAGACTATGCCCCACATGCATGATTACTATTTGTGTGACTGAGGGCAGCTACTATTTCCATTTCTCCCTTTGGGCTGTTCTTTTCTTTGGTGGACTCTTCTACTGCTTCTTCCTAGAGCATGTTTTTCAGACCCTTCACCATCCTGGGTAGCTATTTCTGGCAATTAACTTCGGTTTATAAACATCCTGTGTGAAAATGTGGTGTTGCAAATGGAACCAAATATTCTTAGTGTCTGAATTTCAGAGTACAGGGTAGTTGTTATGTCTCTAGAGTCAGATTTTGCATACATGAATGTGGTCATTGATTATACTGTTTTGTTTGTTTGTTTTTAAAGCCTGTTGTTACTGATGGTTCAGTTTATTGTTGGAACCAGATCCTTTCCCCCAGTGAGATCTTACAGATCTTTTAAGTCAGGTCTCCAACTGCTGCACTCAATAATGAACTTTCTAACAATGTGTCAAATGAATTACTAGATGAATGAGTGAATAAATGAACCTTAACAGGAAGCTGAAGTGGCTTTTCTTGATCTCATAGGATTCTGGTGAAGTCCTAAAGGTGAGGATGGTAGGTGAAAGTTACCCTCACTTTCCAAAGGGAGGTACTAAAATGGACAAGGCAAGATGTGGTTACCTCATTCCAAAGAGAGGTACCAGACACCCCTATGCCAGACTTAATGGAAAATAATAGAAAAGGTTCAACAGCCATCAACCCCTTCTCCTACCTCCAGTCTTCATGAGAAGACTACTGTAAATATTTGAAATAATTATTAGAGAGGCATGGGGAAAGGAAAACTCAGCCCAGTGTGGGATGCTGTGATGTCTCCTCTCTTTTCTCCATGTTTATTTCCATGCTGGCCCTGCATATTTCTTATTTCCTGGCTTGTGGCCTGCTGAGATGCAGAATCCTGTGGTCCCATCTTGGTGTAGCCACAGGGAAGATGAAGGTGAGAGATCTTGGGAGAGGTTGGACCTGAGGCACTCATGTGAAACAAGGTCTGCGACCCACATTTTACCAGCTATGCTGAAAGAATGTTAGCTGGCACTTCCTGGAATGGCAGGGTAAGGAGGTGAGGACTTCTTGCATTTGGTGTGGCTGGGATGGGTGAGTGGATACTATAGGTGATCACCAGGTTTAAGTGGTCTTGATGGGAGCTTGCCCAAGAGGTGAGGCGACTCCAGCAGGAAGAAGGCTTGGGATGGACTGTTGTGCCAAGAATTGGAAAGAAGGAAGCACCTGAGGTTATGCAGAAAGTACATTGCCCACAGCAGAGAACTGCACGGTATGGAGGCTTGTGTGGAGACACTTCCAAAGGCCCCACCAATGCACCCCACCAGGAGACAGGCTGAAAACCTGCCGTACACTGAAGGCCACTCCAGCCAAAGGCAAACCACAACCATAGTATTAACCTAGTTTAACTATTTTCTCTAATCCCTCTTTCTCCTGCTTTGTCCCAGAGGAGGGAAGAAGTAAAGGAAGAGCAGAAGAACAACTCACAGTCCTTCCTCATTGCAAAGCCATGAGCCATAGATTAGGCATGAACTAGAAGGAGAATTGATGTTTCAAATTGCATACGAGGTGGTAGTTTCGATTTGAACTTGACAGAACCTGCTTTTCAGTAGCTAAGAAATGAATCAATGTCAGAATGAGACTGTTCTATTTTTTTTTTTTTTTTTGAGACAGTGTCTTACTCTTTTTCCCAGACTGGAGTGCAGTGGGGTGATTACAGCCTTGAAATCCCGGGCTCAAGTGATCCTCTCACCTCAGCCTCCCGAGTAGCTAGGACTACAGGTGTGCACCACCATGCCCGACTAATTTTTAAATTTTTAGTAGAGACAGGGTCTCACTGTGTTGCCCAGGCTGGTCTTGAACTCCTGGCCTCAAGTAATTCCCTTGCTTCGGACTCTCAAAGTGCTGGGATTACAGGTGTGAGCCCTGACACCCAGCCAGAATGAGACTATTCTTATTGAAAGTGATCAATCTGTCTCAGATGTTTTCTAAGCGTAGAAACAATTTTGAAGAAAGGGTTGGAGGAACAAATGCGGCTGTTTGCATGAATAGATGCAGCTGTTTCCTTTGGACCTCCGCAAGCTCAGCTGAGCCTGTGGGTAATTTAATATTGAATGAATGAGTGACTGGTGATAACGGATTCTTATCATTGTGTACTTCCAATCCCAGAGAGCTGCTAGTTTATTGGACTTCTGAAGTCCTTGTGGTCAAATCAGCCATTCATTCCTTCATTTATTAATCCAATTTTAAATTGGGCTAGGCCCTTGGATTCCTAAATGAGTGAACCAGGCCCTTGACAACCAGGAGCTTGCCTGGCTCTTGGAGGAGGAGAGGATTCTATTGAGCTCTGAGGGATGGTTCAGGCCTGGGCTGGGAGAGAAGAGGAGATGTCCATTCAGGATGGGAGTGCTGTCTCTTGGACGTTGGGCATCCTGACGTCCTGCTCTGACCCTGGCTTGCTCATTCATTTATTCATTCATTCATTCATCTAAGAAATAAGTATTGAGCACCTACCTACTTTCAGGGTAATCTGCTTGGCATCTTTCTTAGAGTGGCATTCCCAATGGGCAGATTTTCCAGCATGGCAAGTCTGTTTCTCACTTTCTTAGAAATTCATATGGCAAAGAAGTGGTGTGGGTTAGAAGTTTTGGAATTTCTAGTTTCAAACTATTTACATCTCTGACTTCCCCAGTTGCTCCCTAGTCCTCTGTTGACTTCAGACTGAACCTCTGAACTGGAAATCAGGAGAGGGTTCAAGTGGTTCTCCCGCCTCAGCCTGCAGAGTAGCTGGGACTACAGGCACATGCCACCATACCTGGCTAATTTTTTGTATTTTTTTGTAGAGATGGGGTTTCACCGTGCTAGCCAGGATGGTCTCGATTTCCTGACTTCATGTTCCACCCGCCTCGGCCTCCCAAAGTGCTGGGATTACAGGTGTGAGCCACTGCGCCCGGCCATTTTAACTTGTAAGTCTGGCAGCCCTACTGTCAGGGAAAGCCTCTCTCTGGCCTGAGAAAGGCCGTGAGTTTAATCTCTTGGGTTTTTAGGAGGCCTCTTCCCCTACAAATCTTCCAACCATGGCAGTCAGGGCCTGGCTAGAACCTGCTGTTGACTCTCCTCACCTTGCCCTTGTAGGGTGCAGAGAACGTGGACTGCCCCATGTGAACTGAAGATCAGGAGATCTGAATTCCAGATCATAGTCTGCCAGCGAGGTCACAGAACACGTTGCTGGCAGACTCTGGGCCTGATTTTCCTATTTAGAGACCATTGAGGATTCTATGGACTGTTCAAATATCATACATGGATTTAGCTTTGGAGGGCAACCGGGACAGGAACATTTGTCCATGTGTCCTCTGTGTACCCATCCAGTGTACTCTCTCTCTCTCTCTCTCTCTCTCTCTCTCTCTCTCTGTGTGTGTGTATGTGTGCTTGTGCGTGCTAGGGGATGGAAGAGAGATGCCAAACTGCCTGAGATGATGCAAGAAATGGCCTGTTAAGAGCCACCTGCCATGCTTTTTTTGATTTTGTACAACTCCTGTACTGACAGTGGCAGTCGGTGGGGGAGAGTAGTTGGGAGTTGCCCCATTTTTTTCTCAGTTCAACTTCCCCAGAATGACTCCCCACAACCTTTCTCACTCCCAGGAGAAAACGCAGGTTCTTTCTTCTGTCCTTGGAATAAAGCAGGCTGGTAAAAAGGAACAAAGACACAATGGCAGGTTGTTGAGCTGAGCTTGAAAGGGCTCAGCGGCAGGGGGCCTGGCTTCGGCTCCAGGTGCCTGGGCCCAGGTCATCCCATCTGGGAAGCTGCTCCTGGCTATTCATTTGTTCAGTATCATTCTGAAACACAAGGCAAGGAGGAGAGGCAGAGCTACAGAGAATCTGAGGAGAAGCCCGAAAAATAATTGCAACAAGGGAAGAGAGAAGTATATCCTGTCAAATGCTGCTTTGGTACCTAACTCTGAGATCACAGACATTTGGCAGGACAGAGAAGAAGACACTAATTGGAAGGGGTTGGGTAAAACTCACACAAGGGCTGGCAAAGAAACCAGCACATTCTCAGAACTGCCTAGAAAGACAGAACACCACTTTGGGAGGCCAAGGTGGGCGGATCACCTGAAGTCGGGAGTTCGAGACCAGCCTGACCAACATGGAGAAACCCTGTCTCTACTAAAAATACAAAATTAGCCAGGTGTGGTGGTGCATACCTGTAATCCCAGGTACTCAGGAGGCTGAGGCAGGAGAATCACTTGAACCCGGGAGGCAGAGGTTGCAGTGAGCCAAGATCGCACCATTGTACTCCAGCCTGGGCGACAAGAGTGAAACTCCGTCTCAAAAAAAAAGAAAGAAAGAAAGAAAGAACACCAGGAGAGACCAGCCATCTGTTGCCCTGATGCAGAACAATCTTGGCTCTTGGTTTTAAGAGAGAAGTTGGTATGTGTTGCTGTGACAGTCTGTTTGCACTGCTATAACAAAATACCACAGACTGGGTAATTTATAAACAATAGAAACGTATTTCTCATAACTCTGTAGGCTGGAAGTCCAAGATTAAGGTGACAGTGGGTCCAAGTGTCTGGTGAAGGGCTGGTCTCTGATTCTAAGATGATGCCTTGAACATTGCATCCCCCTACATGGTGGAAGAGCAGAAGAAAAGAAACCCATTCCTTCAAGCTTTTTTATAAGGGTTCAAATCCCATCCATGAAGGATCTTCCCGCCTGGCTTAATCACCTCCTAAAGGGCCCAACTCTTAATATTATCATGGGCAATTCAGTTTCAACCTGTGAAATTTGGGAAACAAGTGCAGACCACAGCAGTGGTGGACACTGCTGTTGTGCCACTCGGCTCCCCTGAGATTCCTTTTACCATCCCTCTGGGGGTATCCTCTGCTCCGTGTACTTTGTTGCTAACACTGGCACCTGTGCCTTTTGGAAGATCGTCTTGGCCAGTGGAGCCACCTTGCCTAACTGTGAGCCAGAGGAGCCTTGGAGTTTCATGCCCTCTCCCGAGCCTTCTCCCTTCCTAGCCCAGGACCGGTGTGAGCATGCAGAAGCTCAGCACCTGAGGTGAGACAGAGTCCGAGTGTTATATATATTCCAGAGCTCACCATGGGATCAGGCTGAGGCTGGGGCTCCACCCGAAATACACCCCATCCTTGGCTTCTTCCCCTTCTGTATCCTGCTTTCCCCGCTTTCTTACTGATTTCTCCTTCATTAATTAGTTATCTTATTATTTCTCAATTGACCACTTACACCTGAATCCCTGCCTTAGGATCAGATTCTGATGTGATTATGATAGTGGGGAAACCCCAGGAAGGCATTTCAGTTAACACCTCAGGTGCTCAGGAAGGAGAACAGCTTCAACTGGTCATGCCCCAGAGCAGAACTGTCATTTAGAAAAGACCGCAGATCTCTGGTGGAGGAGGAGGGGTGAATGTTAGGAGTAGGGGCTCCTAGAGGTCAGCATCATCATCTCCAATGTTTGTGTCTTCACTTGGCGATCTTTGAAGACATTTACATGGGAGACCCTTGATTTACTCCACAAGAGCATGTGTTTTAGACTCACGCAGATCTGAGTTCATGTCCCACTTTTAAAAGATTGTATTTATTTAAGGTATACAACATGATGTTTTGATATAAATATACATAGTGAAAAGATGACTACAGTTAAGCAAATTAACAGATACATCTTTTCACATGGCTACCTTTTCTTTTTGTGTGGTAAGAACATCTGAAATCTACTCTCAGCAAATTTCCAGTCTACAACACAACATTATTAACAGCAGTCACCTTGCTGTAGTTAGCGCTCTAGGCTTTTTCATCCTATATAATGGCAACTTTGTGCCCTTTGACCTGCATCACCCATTTCTTCCCTCTCTCCACCCCAGGTGGTCTCTACTCCACGCTCTATTTCTGTGTATTCACATGTCCCACTTCTGACCCTTACTGGCGGTATGACCTAAGGCAAGTTACTCAACCTCTCTGAGCCTTAGTTTCCTCATCTGTAAAATGGGACTAATAGTGGTTCACATCTCAGAGGGCAGTTGAGAGGGTTACATGTGCCCGCTGTGGTAAACATGTTGGTTCTGGTCCCTGAGTCTCAGTGTTAACATAAAATAGAGGCCCAGGATGTCTTTTATCAGGAAGTCTTTCCAAAGTGGGACATGCCAACTGATAAATGATGCAGCTGGCCCATGATTTTTGCAAGAGTTGTTATGGCAACCATATTTTTAAGTCACAAAATTGGCAAAGAACGTGAAATTGGGACTATGTGACAACAAGAAGTGATGGGTTGACATAAATAGACCTACAAAAGAGAAGTAGTAGCAGCAATTAAGAATATGAGAAGCAGGTACAGAAACACATATTAAGGATAGGATAGTTGTATGTGACCAAGTGGGGGTTAGAAACCTGTCCCTGGTCTGGACAGAAGAAGAGGTGTGAGTTTGGAATAAGCATTTTTACACAGTCTCTCAGGGTTGCCTGAGCCATTTTGCTTCTTGTTGGGCACCCCCTGGAATGAGAGAACAGACTGTCTCCCAAGCGATTCACTTCACTCTCCCAAGCGATTGGACAGGGGTCTTGTCTTGGGCTTCTTATTCCTGTGGTCCTCCTCCCTTTTGCTGTGTCCCACCTGCCTGTGTCTCCACTGGCAGCTTCCTGGGGGAGACATGACTCTCTGTTCTCTTTCCATAAGTTCCCAGTAACTCCGGGTATCAGAGAAGTGCCAGGAATCCCTCCTCTCCACTTTCCCCTCTGAGGAATGGGAGGATATCAGAGTCACGGTCTCACTTGCAGCTGAGTGGTTGGAATAGACATTTAGCAATTTGCATCATCAGAGTCATGATGCCAGGTGGACACCTTGTGAAGTACTTAAGAGAAGCTCCCCTATCAGGAGGACAGGAGAGTCGGAGTCTGGGCTCAATAGGGCAAAAGCTATTATGATTGTAGGAGAAATGAAGGGCCTGCCATGAGAGGGGTCGGCTGCTTGTTCTGTTTCCATCCACCTCCACGGATGCATCCCCAGACCTTCTCTGTACCCCAGAGGTTGACCCTGTGAATGTCACTTTTGAGGCTCCCTTGACAGCTAGATTCTGCTTGGGTTTGAACAACAGGAGGTACCTGAGACTGAAGGGCAGATGGAAGGAGAGGTTTACCCTCCACACCTGCTTTGACAGTGGTGTCATACCCCCAGGAGCAGTCCCTTAACCTGGCTCCAGCTCTCACTGGACTCCTGTGATGCCATTTCCTTCCCTTGCCCCCAGTCCTAAAGGCAGTAATGCTGTAGTCTGTTGCTTGTCTCTGGGACCCAGTTACCCTTGTTGGTCTTGTTAGCCCCACCCATACTGCTGAAAATAGCACCTTTATTAAAGGCTTCCCATTTGAACCAGCTGAGTTGAATTTGTTTCTTTCTAAGATCCTGATGGGCACATGAAGAAAGAGTAAAGGTGCCAAGCATCTCAATTTGGGTGGCACTGGCTTTCTGAGATAGTGAGGTTGCAGGTTGGATGGGGGAAGAAGAAGTGAACTGGGGAGCTACAGGGGCAAGGCCCAGGGATCAAGCCCAAAAGTAGAGCTGGGTCACATGAGTCTAAACTACCAGTCATTGTTGCTGGTCTATGCTGGTGCTGAAACCTAGAGACTGCCCTCTGGTGAGACAGGAGGCAGGAGTCTCTGAGCAATGGAGATGCTCACATTGTGGGCACAGTTGGATCTTCATTCTGGGGAATTCTTCTGCATCCATTAGGACTCAGTCCCAATGGCATGGGGATCCCAGAGCTGAGCATGGGCTATAACCAGCCAATGGGCTCAGAGCTATGAGAGAAACTGGAGTAGGTAACATCAAGGCATGAGGTTCAGGGTTACTCTCATGGTCTTGGGGACTAAGTAGGGAAGAGACCAGGGCCAGGTAGGAATGGACACAAATTAGCTGATGACAGCTGTTTGGGGACAGAATCTGAGCCCATGAATGATGCAACTTTGGGCCACTCTTTGGTGTTGGTAGGAGAAGGAAGGGATTATTACTGTGATAAAGATGGATGAGGAAGTCTTCATGAAAGTGGTGTTTTTGGCACAGGAAGGGCAATTGCAGAATACGTTTAAGAAGTGAGGTGCTGGTGTGTTATGCACAGTGGAGGGATTCTGTTGGTAGTACTCAGTATTTGACTGGGCTTAGGAAGAGTTCCTCATAGGCTAGCCTCCCAGCCTCCTGGCCTCCTGACAGAGGAGTTTCTCTTAAGTCCTTCATGAGGTGTCCAGCTGGCAGTAGCCAGGCCATGATGGCACCCAGCTCCCCTTCTGCTCCCTTCACTGCTGGTGACCCAGGCGTGCCTGGACACAGTTCTACCCCTGACCCCTGGACATTGCTGCTTCTCTCCAGGCATCAGCATGGGGCTGAAGGGGGTTAGGCCACAGTTCCTTTTCTATCCTGTCTCATGTCCCTTTCAACATCTCCACCATAGAATGTGCTGGGTAGGTAGGAAGATGCAAATGTTTTGAAAAACAAAAACAAAAACAAAAAAGCCAAGTGTGTAAAAATCTCACTTTATTTCTCTACAGCTGAAATTAAATTAGCTCTTAAGCCTTGATTTCCACAGTTTGGAGAAAACTTGATTTTGCCAATTCTCATATATATGTGCATCTGCATCTGGGGCTTTATATTCTATTTCATTGGCCTGTCTGTCTATCCTTCCCTGAATGCCTCACTCTTTTAATTACCACAGCTTTATAATAAGTATTGTTCCCTGGTAGAATAAGTCTCTCCAGAAATTTGCCTTGGCTTGAATTTTGGGGTGGAATTGTCAAGTTCTCTATTAATTTTTGTTGCTTGATCTTGTGGCCAACTATCCTGCTGTACTCTCTTATTAGGTCTATTTCTTTTTACTAGATTATTTTGGATTTTCTGTGTAGACAGTCATATTTTCTGCAAATAATGACAATGGATTTTTCTTTCCTAATCTTTCATAACATTTTTTTCTTCTTCTTATTGTGCCAACTTTTAGTACAGGATGAATGGAAGGGATGGGAGCAGATGTTTGTATCTTGTTCTTGTCTTTAAAGGAGCATCAACTTCTCTGTAATTCTCATTATAGGACTCTCAACTCACTTTTTTTTTTATTATTATACTTTAAGTTTTAGGGTACATGTGCACAATCTGCAGGTTAGTTACATATGTATACATGTGCCATGCTGGTGCGCTGCACCCACTAACTCATCATCTAGCATTAGGTATATCTCCCAATGCTATCCCTGCCCCCTCCCCCCACCCCACAACAGTCCCTAGAGTGTGATGTTCCCCTTCCTGTGTCCATGTGATCTCATTGTTCAATTCCCACCTATGAGTGAGAACATGCGGTGTTTGGTTTTTTGTTCTTGCGATAGTTTACTGAGAATGATGATTTCCAGTTTCATCCATGTCCCTACAGAGGACATGAACTCATCATTTTTTATGGCTGCATAGTATTCCATGGTGTGTATGTGCCACATTTTCTTAATCCAGTCTATCATTGTTGGACATTTGGGTTGGTTCCAAGTCTTTACTATTGTGAGTAGTGCCGCAATAAACATATGTGTGCATGTGTCTTTATAGCAGCATGATTTATAGTCCTTTGGGTATATACCCAGTAATGGGATGGCTGGGTCAAGTGGTATTTCTAGTTCTAGATCCCTGAGGAATCGCCACACTGACTTCCACAATGGTTGAACTAGTTTACAGTCCCACCAACAGTGTAAAAGTGTTCCTGTTTCTCCACATCCTCTCCAGCACCTGTTGTTTCCTGACTTTTTAATGATTGCCATTCTAACTGGTGTGAGATGATATCTCATTGTGGTTTTGATTTGCATTTCTCTGATGGCCATGATGGTGAGCATTTTTTCGTGTGTTTTTTGGCTGCATATATGTCTTCTTTTGAGAAGTGTCTGTTCATGTCCTTCGCCCACTTTTTGATGGGGTTGTTTGTTTTTTTCTTGTAAATTTGTTTGAGTTCATTGTAGATTCTGGATATTAGCCCTTTGTCATGTGGGTAGATGGCAAAAATTTTCTCCCATTTTGTAGGTTGCCTGTTCACTCTGATGGTAGTTTCTTTTGCTGTGCAGAAGCTCTTTAGTTTAATTAGATCCCATTTGTCAATTTTGGATTTTGTTGCCATTGCTTTTGGTGTTTTAGACATGAAGTCCTTGCCCATGCCTATGTCCTGAATGGTAATGCCTAGGTTTTCTTCTAGGGTTTTTATGGTTTTAGATCTAACGTTTAAGTCTTTAATCCATCTTGAATTGATTTTTGTATAGGGTGTAAGGAAGGGAGCCAGTTTCAGCTTTCTACATATGGCTAGCCAGTTTTCCCAGCACCATTTATTAAATAGGGAATCCTTTCCCCATTGCTTGTTTTTCTCAGGTTTGTCAAAGATCAGATAGTTGTAGATATGCGGCGTTATTTCTGAGGGCTCTGTTCTGTTCCATTGATCTATATCTCTGTTTTGGTACCAGTACCATGCTGTTTTGGTGACTGTAGCCTTGTAGTATAGTTTGAAGTCAGGTAGCATGATGCCTCCAGCTTTGTTCTTTTGGCTTAGGATTGACTTGGCGATGCGGGCTCTTTTTTGGTTCCATGTGAACTTTAAAGTAGTTTTTTTCCAATTCTGTGAAGAAAGTCATTGGTAGCTTGATGGGGATGGCATTGAATCTATAAATTACCTTGGGCAGTGTGGCCATTTTCACGATATTGATTCTTCCTACCCATGAGCATGGAATGTTCTTCCATTTGTTTGTATCCTCTTTTATTTCATTGAGCAGTGGTTTGTAGTTCTCCTTGAAGAGGTCCTTCACGTTTTTTCAGCACCACACCACACCTATTCCAAAATTGACCACATAGTTGGAAGTAAAGCTCTCCTCAGCAAATGTAAAAGAACAGAAATTATAACAAACTATCTCTCAGACCACAGTACAATCAAACTAGAACTCAGGATTAAGAAACTCACTCAAAACCGCTCAATTACGTGGAAACTGAACAACCTGCTCCTGAACGACTACTGGGTACATAACGAAATGAAGGCAGAAATAAAGATGTTCTTTGAAACCAACGAGAACAAAGACACAACATACCAGAATCTCTGGAACACATTCAAAGCAGTGTGTAGAGGGAAATTTATAGCACTAAATGCCCACAAGAGAAAGCAGGAAAGATCCAAAATTGACACCCTAACATCACAATTAAAAGAACTAGAAAAGCAAGAGCAAACACATTCAAAAGCTAGCAGAAGGCAAGAAATAACTAAAATCAGAGCAGAACTGAAGGAAATAGAGACACAAAAAACCCTTCAAAAAATTAATGAATCCAGGAGCTGGTTTTTTGAAAGGATCAACAAAATTGATAGACTGCTAGCAAGACTAATAAAGAAAAAAAGAGAGAAGAATCAAATAGATGCAATAAAAAATGATAAAGGGGATATCACCACTGATCCCACAGAAATACAAACTACCATCAGAGAATACTACAAACACCTCTACGCAAATAAACTAGAAAATCTAGAAGTAATGGATAAATTCCTTGACACATACACTCTCCCAAGACTAAACCAGGAAGAAGTTGAATCTCTGAATAGACCAATAACAGGAGCTGAAATTGTGGCAATAATCAATAGCTTACCAACCAAAAAGAGTCCAGGACCAGATGGATTCACAGCCGAATTCTACCAGAGGTACAAGGAGGAACTGGTACCATTCCTTCTGAAACTCTTCCAATCAATAGAAAAAGAGGGAATCCTCCCTAACTCATTTTATGAGGCCAGCATCATCCTGATACCAAAGCCGGGCAGAGACACAACCAAAAAAGAGAATTTTAGACCAATATCCTTGATGAACATTGATGCAAAAATCCTCAATAAAATACTGGCAAACAGAATCCAGCAGCACATCAAAAAGCTTATCCACCATGATCAAGTGGGCTTCATCCCTGGGATGCAAGGCTGGTTCAATATACGCAAATCAATAAATGTAATCCAGCATATAAACAGAACCAAAGATAAAAACCACATGATTATCTCAATAGATGCAGAAAAGGCCTTTGACAAAATTCAACAACCCTTCATGCTAAAAACTCTCAACTCACTTTTTTAGAAACTCCACTGCCTATCCCAGCAATTTGCCTCTCCCAGGATTCATTCTTCCCCCACTAGCCACACTTTCCCTGCTGCTGAGCTCTGTCTATGAGAATGTCCTGGGGCTCCAGAGGGGAGTGCGAGGTGACATTCTAGGACCCACAGGATAGCCCAGGATGAGCTCTTCCCTTCCAGATCTCCCCATTTGCATATTTTGCAGGCGAGCTTCTTCATCCTTCACATTTTCCAGTAAGTGGCTGTTGAATCAAGTGGAAAGGCAAGTGAGTGTTGCTCTCTCTCTGCTCCACCCTCTTTCCCTGTCTATCTCCCTCTCTATCTCCCTCTCTCCCTCTCCCTCTCTCCTCCTTCCTTCTCACTCCAAGGACAAATGGTAATTGTCAGACAGTAGAAACCCACAAGGAGGAAGAATCACATTTTTCTTCATGTCCCATAATTGTCAGACAACAACTCCTCAATGGAGTTAAACTTCACATTTTTATGTGGAAGGTCACTGGCTCCTTCCTTTTCTCTCAACCTTCCCCTTCCCCTTGTATACCTGGGTCCACTGGGAGTAGAAAGTAGCACTATCTCTTAGTAACTGTCCCCTCAGCTCTGCTAAGATTGACATTGAAAAGCTTTGCAATTGCCACATGAAGGCTCAATTAAAGTCTTGGCCAAGGGCTACCCTCTTTTGCAATCTAGGATGGGGAGAGTATGTGGTTTTCCTCTTCCTGTTCCATAGCAATATGACAGAACAAATGAGCTGGAACTTTCAAGTTCAGTGATTTTTTTTTTTTTAATGAAGGAAAAAAAAATGGGGGCTGCTCTTCTAGACATGTGTTCACCAGAAAGTGTGGGATGTGGTTTGGTTAAATGTGTGTATTTCCATTGCCATCCTTCTTTTCCAAGGAGTTTCAATTTGCATCAAAATGGCAGACTTGGGTAGGAGGGAGGGGTGGCAGGGATGTCTTGCAAAGTGGCCATTTGGCCTTTTCAAATCTTGGACCCTATGGTTTTATTCAACTAACACTCAAAGTTATGTCTTGTGACAAACAAAGTTTAAACTTAAAATATGACAGTCGATTCTCATTACTCATGGTAGTTATGTTCTACAAAGTCATCTCAAACTCTGAGTTAATGAATACTGAACCATTGCTCCTAGGGGAAGTACAGGTCAAACTCATGCAAGCCACTGGTCACAATGTTTTTGTCAAGAGTTCAATACATAACTTTGTTTACGTGTGTTTTTATTAAAGACACCCTATTTAATGTACATTGTTGATTCATTAACACTGAACTCACCTCCGATACCAACATAACTGATTCTTGAATGAAACTTATCTAACACACATTTTCTCTGTAAGGTGCATCAGAGCCTTCTTGTACTTAAGAACAATAGACAGCACTTTAGCACTGTGTTTGGGGACCATTTTAAACAGCAAAATCACCAACAAAAAGCAAAAACATCAAAAGACATGGCACTAAATAGGCCTTGGAAAGGATAATTGCTTACTGTATGAGAGCTGAAACAAGAAGGCAGAGTGTCAGCTTGTTCAACCTCATTGGGAATGTGCATTGGACAACTCAAATTATTCTCCACTTTGTGCATGTACAGAAATGACTGCAAAAGCACCATGAATACTGATTTTGGAGTTACAAATAAATTTTAGTTCATAAGAAAATTCACAAATACAGAATTCAAGAATGAGGAAACTATGTACTAACTATATGTTTCTAACTATATGTAGAAAATATGTGCATGAGAAAACATGTATTAAAATACTGTGTAAAAACTTTTAAATAAATACTTATTTTAAAGAAATAGACGTTATTCTTTGAACATCTCCTGGAGATGAAGTGCCGTGTGCTTCCGACAGCTACTTACAAGGGGACCCTGTTAACAATCTACACTTTACTTTGCATATCGACTTCATTCCTATATCAAACGCTTCCAGGAGAAGAGATTTAACCACTTTTAAATGATCAAGTGAAAATGAGGTTTAAACATGGTTCCATATGTCAAATGTGCCTCGTGAAACCTGGCACCAAGAAGGTGTACAGTGCAGGTGTGTTCTTATTTCCTATCCTTTCTCCCATTTGATTTTTTTCTCTTCTTTCTTCACTTAAGAGAGGTGCCAAAATGGTAAGAGCATAGTTGGGAGTGGGGAGGGTGTAAGTGAACCATTCTGGCCAAGAAATTTCTAAGTTTCCAAAGAAGAGTTTAGTGCGTCCTAGGTTTAGTACATAAGAGCAGATCTTGGGAAGGCCACGGAGGCAAATACTTGGTCCCAAATGTGTTTTTTGACATCTTCATGGCCTCAGAAGTCTAATGAGCGTGTCCAGGTGGAAGGGAATGCAGCCATTTTGTTCTATTTTGATTTCAGCCTAATACAAAGTTTTTCCTGCGGGGTTTTAACCTCTTTCTGTGGCAAATAAGTATTGTGAACAATTCCCCATTGACCTGCAAAACAGAGACAGAGGAGGGAGCCATTGCTGGCTTAGGAGCTGAGCATGTCAGTCTTGTTCCTCAGTGTTGAGTTTGTGATCTGACCTCCTGCACTCTGTGAGTTCCTCCCTGCTTTTAGTTTTTGCTGTCTGTAGATTCAACCCTTGCCTGGGAGAATCACCCTGTTCTTTTCTGGACCACCTGTTATGTGCCCTCCACACCAACTTCATTCTATCTCTGTCCTCACTGATGTTAAGACAGGAGCATATATGTCCAGCCAGAGGGATGTAGTTTGGGGAGGACCAAAGTGCTTTCTGACTATTCACCCTCAAAGGTAGCAAGGAAATTGGTACCCAGGTGTATTAGTTTCCTATTGCTACTGTAACAAATCACCACAAGCTTAGTGGATTAAAACAACACAAATTTATTCTCTTACAGTCCTGGAGGTCAGAAGTTCAAAATGAGTTTATGAGGATAAAATCAAGGTGTCAATCATCATGGTGGACGGGAGGCAGGACTAGATTGCAGCTCCAACTCGGATGGACAGAGCAGGGTGTGGAGGCTTGCATTGTGAATTTTTAGCTCCAGAATGACTGCAGGAATAAATAAGGAATCCCAAGAGGACGCACAGACCCTCTGAAGGAAGCAGACTGCTCCTGCAGGACCCAGGAGACACCCCAAATACTGTGAGTGCCCAAACCATGGAATTGGGAAAGGGAGTTCCTCTACCCTTGAACACACACCCCCCACTGGGGAAACTGAAGGTCCAGTTTCCTGGAGAAGATTCCAACATTTCCTGGAGCTGAATCAATTTAGAGAGCTGAGCGAAATACAGGGGTAGAGGAAGCAGCGGGAAAGGCCCTGGGAGCTTGCTGGGTTCCCAAGCAGGCCATTCCTGCCTGGCATCACAGGGATCCTTCAGTAGTACGGCCAGAGGTGTGGGGAAAATGCCACAGAGAGAAGGAAGCCTCCAGCTGAACTTTGTAACAATTCGAACCAGTGGAAAAGCCTTCTGGCCAGAACCCAGGGAGAGCGTGAGTCTGGCATGCAGACTCCACAGGTGAGGGAAGAACTAAAGCTCTTTTCTTTTGCAGCTGGGAGGCAGGTAGCCTGGGGCACGTTCTCAGCCCTGCTTGCCCACAGCCTGGAAACAGACTTGGTGCTGTTAGGTGATGCATGTTAGGAGTGAGACTGGCCCTTCTGATTGCATGGGAGCTGGGTGAGGCCTGTGACTGGTTACTTTCCCTCACTTCTCTGACAATCTCCATGACTCAGCAGAGGCAGCCATAATCCTCCTAGGAACACAACTCCATTGACCTGGGAAGCTCACCCCCGTCTCCCACATCAGCCGCAGCAAGACCCACCTAAGGAGAGTCTAAGCTCAGACATGCCTAGCCCTGCCCCCAACTGATGGTCCTTCCCTACCCACCCTGGTAGCTGAAGACAAAGGGCATATACTCTTGGGTGTTCTAGAGTCCTGCCCACTGCCAGTTCCTCTCCATACTACCACAGCTGATGCTCTCTGGAAAGCGCCACCTCCCAGCAGGAGGTCAACCAGCACAGAAATAGAGCATTAAACCACCAAAGCTAAGAACCCTCACAGAGTCCATTTCACCCCCCTGCCACCTCCACCAGAACAGGTGCTGGTATCCACAACTGAGAGACCCACAGATGGTTCACATCATAGGACTCTGTGCAGACAACCACCAGTACCAGCCCAGAGCCTGGCAGACTTGCTGGATGGCTAGACCCAGAAGAGAAATAACAGTCACTACAGCTCAGCTCTCAGGAAGCCACATCCATAGGGAAAGGGAGAGAGTACTACATCAGGGGAACAGCCCATGGGACAAAAGAATCTGAACAACAGCCTTCAGCCCTAGACCCTCTTTCTGACAGAGCCTACCCAAATGAGAAGGAACCAGAAAGCCAACTCTGGTAATATGAAAAAATGAGGCTCTTTTACACCCCCGCAAAAATCACACTAGCTCACCAGCAATGGATCCAAACCAAGAATAAATCCCTGATTTGCCTGAAAAACAATTCAGGAGGTTAGTTATTAAGCTAATCAAGGAAGCACCAGAGAAAGGTGAAGCCCAATGCAAGGAAATCCAAAAAACGTTACAAGAAGTGAAGGGAGAAATACTCAAGGAAATAGATAGCATAAAGAACAAACAATAAAAAATTCAGGAAACTTCGGACACACTTTTAGAAATGTGAAATGCTCTGGAAAGCTCCAGCAATAGAATTGAACAAATAGAAGAAAGAAATTCAGAGCTCGGAGACAAGGTCTTTGAATTAACCCAATCCAACAAAGACAAAGAAAAAAGAATAAGAAAATATGAACAAAGCCTCTAAGAAGTTTGGGATTATGTTAAATGACCAAACTTAAGAATAATTGGTGTTCCTGAGGAAGAACAGAAATCTAAAAGTTTGGAAAACATATTTGGGGGAATAATTGAGGAAAACTTCCCTGGCCTTGCTAGATACCTAGACATCGAAATATAAGAAGCACAAAGAACACCTGGGAAATTCATCATAAAAGGATCATCTCCTAGGCACATCTCCTAGGTCATCAGGTTATCTAAAGTTAAGATGAAGGAAAGAATCTTAAGAGCTGTGAGACAAAAGTACCAGTAACGTATAAGGGAAAATCTATCAGATTAACAGCAGATTTCTCAGCAGAAACCCTACAAGCTAGAAGGGATTAGGGCCCTATCTTCAACCTCCTCAAATGAAACAATTATCAGCCAAGAATTTTGTACCCAGTGAAACTAAGCATCATATATGAAGGAAAGATACAGTCTTTTCCAGACTAACAAATACTGAGAGAATTTGCCACTACCGAGCCACCATTACAAGAACTGCTAAAAGGAGCCCTAAATCTTGAAACAAATTCTGGAAACACATCAAAACAGAACCTCTTTAAAGCATAAATCTCACAGGACATATAAAACAAAAATACAATTTAAAAAGCAAAAACAAAAAACCAAGGTACACAGGCAACAAATAGTATGATGATTGGAATGGTACCTCACATCTCTACACTAACATTGAATGTAAATGGCCTAAATGCTCCACTTAAAAGATACAGAACTTCAGAATAGATAAGAATTCACTAACCAACTATCTGCTGCCTTCAGGAGACTCACCTAACACAAAAGGACTCACATAAACTTAAAGGAAAGGGATGGAAAAAGGCATTTCATGCAAACGGACACCAAAAGCAAGCAGAGGTAGCTATTCTTGTATCAGACAAAACAAACTTTAAAGCAACAGCAGTTAAAAAAGACAAAGAGGGACATTATATAATGGTTAAAGGCCTTGTCCAACAGGAAAATATCACAATCCTAAACACATATGCACCTAAAACTGGAGCTCCCAAAATTATAAAACAATTACTAATAGACCTAAGAAATGAGATAGACAGCAACATAATAATAGTGAGAGACTTCAATACTCCACTGACAATGATAGACAGATCATCAAGACAGAAAGTCAACAAAGAAAAATGGATTTAAACTATACCTTGGAACAAATGGATTTAACAGATACATACAGAACATTCCATCCAACAACCCCAGAATACACATTATATTCAACAGTGCATGGAATTTTCTCCAAGATGGACCATATGATAGGCCACAAAACGAGCCTCAATAAATTTAAGAAAATTAAAATTATATCAAGTACTCTCTTAGACCACAGTGGAATAAAACTAAAAATTAACTCCAAAAGGAACCTTCAAAACCATGCGAATATATGGAAATTAAATAATCTGCTCCTGAATGATCACTGGGTCAAAAACAAAATCAAGATGGAAATTAAAAAATTCTTCAGACTGAATGACAATAGTGACACAACCTATCAAAACCCCTGGGATAGAGCAACGGTGGTGCTAAGAGGAAAGTTCATAGCCCTAAAATATCTACATCAAAAAGACTGACAGCACAAACTGACATTCTAAGGTTACACCTCAAGGAACTAGAGAAACAAGAACAAACCAAACCCAAACCCAGCAGAAGAAAGGAAATAACCAACATTAAAGAAGAACTAAATGAAATTGAAACAAACAAACAAAAAAATACAAAAGATAAATGAAACGAAAAGGCTGGTTCTTTGAAAAGATACATAAAATTGATAGACCATTAGCAAAATTAACCAAGAAAAGAAGAGAGAAAATCCAAATAACCTCACTAAGAAATGAAACAGGAGATATTACAACTGACACCACTGAAATACAAAAGATCATTCAAGGCTACTATGAACACCTTTGTACACATAAACTAGAAAACCTAGAAAAGATGTTGGGAGGCCTAGGCGGGCGGATCAAGAGGTCAGCAGATTGACACCATCCTGGCTAACACGATGAAACCCCGTCTCTACTAAAAATACAAAAAATTAGCCTGGTGTGGTGGCAGGTGCCTGTAGTCCCAGCTACTCAGGAGGCTGAGGCAGGAGAATGGCGTGAACCCAGGAGGTAGAGCTTGCAGTGAGTGGAGCTTGCGCCACTGCACTCCAGCCTGTGTGACAGAGCGAGACTCTGTCAAAAAAAAAAAAAAAGAAAGAAAAAAAGAAAACCTAGAAAAGATGGATAAATTCCTGGAAAATACAACCCTCCTAGCTTAAATCAGGAAGAGTTAGATACCCTGAACAGGCCAATAACAAGCCGCAAGATTGAAATGGTAATTAAAACATTACCAACAAAAAAAGTCCAGGACCAGAGGGATTCACAGCAGAATTCTACTAGACATTCAAAGAAGAATTGGTATCAATCCTATTGACACTATTCCACAAGAGAGAGAAACAAGGAACCCTCCCTAATTCATCCTATGAAGCTGGCATCACCCTAATACCAAAACCAGAAAAGAACATAACCAAAAAAGAAAATTACAGACTGATATCACTAATGAACATGGATGGTAAAATCCTTAACAAAATACTAGTTAACTTAATCCAACAACATATCAAAAAGATAATCCACAATGACCAAGTGGGTTTTATACAAGGGATTCAGGGATGGTTTAACATATGCAAGTCAATAGATGTGATACACCACATAAATAGAATTAGAAACAAAAATCTCATGATCATCTCAATAGATGCAGACAAAGCATTCAACAAAATCCAGCATCGCTTTATGATTAAAACTCTCAGCAAAATCGGCATACAAGGGACATACCTCAATGTAATAAAAGCCATCTATGACAAACCCACAGCCAACATAATACTAATGGGGGAAAAGTTGAAAGCTTTCCCTTTGAGAATGGGAACAAGACAAGGATGCCCACTCTCGCTACTCCTCTTCAACATAGTACTGGAAGTCCTAGCCAGAGTAATCAGACAAGAGAAAGAAATAAAGGGCATCCAAATTGGTAAAGAGGAAGTCAAACTGTCATTTTTTGCTGACGATATGATCATTTACCTCGAAAACCCTAAAAACTCCTCCAGAAATCTCCTAAACCTGATAAAAGAATTCAGCAAAGCTTCCGGATACAAGATTAATGTACACAAATCAGTAGCTCTTCTATACACCAACAGCGACCAAGCGGATAATCAAATCAGGAACTCATTCCTTTTACAATAGCTGCAAAAAAATGGAAATACTTAGGAATATACTTAATCAAGGAGGTGAAAGACCTCTACAAGGAAAACTACAAAGCACTGCTGAAAGAAATCACAGACAACACAAACAAATGGAAACACATCCCAGGCTCATGGGTGGGTAGAATCAATATTGTGAAAATGACCATGCTGCAAAAAGCAATCTATAAATTCAACACAATCCCCATAAAAATACCACCATCATTCTTCACAGAATTAGAAAACAATTCTAAAATTCATATGGAGCCAAAAAATAGCCCACATAGCCAAAGCAAGACTAAGCAAAAAGAACGAATTTGGAGGCATCACACTACCTGATTTCAAACTATATTGTAAGGCCATAGTCACCAAAACAGCATGGTATTGGTATAAAAATAGGCACATAGACCAATGAAACAGAATAGAGAACCCAGAAATAAACCCAGATACATACAGCCAACTGATCTTCAACAAAGCAAACAAAAACATAAAGAGGGGAAAGGACACCCTTTTCAACAAATGGTGCTGGGATAATTGGCTAGCCACATGTAGGAGAATGACACTGGATTCTTATCTCTCACCTTATACAAAAATCTACTCAAGATGGATTAAGGACTTAAACCTAAGACCTGAAACTGTAAAAATTCTAGAAGATAACATTGGAAAAACCCTTCTAGACATTGGCTTAGGCAAGGATTTCATGACCAAGAACCCAAAAGCAAATGCAATAAAAACAAAGATAAATAGCTGGGACTTAATTAAACTAAAGAGCTTTTGCACAGCAAAAGGAGCAGTCAGCAGAGTAAACAGACAACCCACAGAGTGGGAGAAAATCTTCACAATCTCTACATCTGACAAAGGACTAATATCCAGAATCTACAATGAACTCAAACAAATAAGCAAGAGAAAACAATCACATCAAAAAGTAGACTAAGGACATGAATATACAGTTCTCAAAAGAAGATATACAAATGGCCAACAAACATATGAAAAAATGCTCAACATCACTAATGATCAGGGAAATGCAAATCAAAACCATAATTCTATACCACCTTACTCCTGCAAGAATGGCCATAATAAAAAAAATCAAAAAACAGTAGATGTTGGCATGAATGCAGCGATCAGGAAACACTTCTACACTGCTGGTGGGAATGTAAACTAGTACAGCTACTATGGAAAACAGTGTGGAGATTCCTTAAAGAGCTAAAAGTAGAACTACCATTTGATCCAGGAACCTCACTATTGGATATCTACCCAGAGGATGTTTATAACAGCAAAAATCACAATTGCAAAAATATGGAACCAACCCAAATGCCCATCAATCAGCAAGTAGATAAAGAAACTGTGGTATATACATATGTATGTGTGATTATATGCGTATATACATACCACATATATATATGATGGAATACCACTCAGCCATAAAAAGGAATGAATTAATGGCATTTGCAGCGACCTGGATGAGATTGGAGACTATTATTCTAAGTGAAGTCTAAGTGAAGTAACTCTGGCATGGAAAGCCAACCAAACGTTGTATGTTCTCACTGATATGTGGGAGCTAAGCTATGAAGATGCAAAGGCATAAGAATGATACAATGGACTTTGGGGACGTGGGGGGAAAGGTGGAAGGGGGCAAGGGATTAAAAGACTGCAAATAGGGTGCAGTGTATACTGCTCAGGTGATGGGTGCACCAAAATCTCACAAATCACCACTAAAGAACTTACTCATGTAACCGAACACCACTTGTACCCGAGTAACCTATGGAAAAAAATTAAGTTCAAGGTTAAAAAAAGTTATTGGTAAAATAAAAATAGAAATGTCTCAAAAATAAAATAAAATCAAGGTGTCCGCAGGGCTGAATTCTTTCTGGAGATTACCTTGATTTTCAGCTTTTAGAAGTTGTGTGCATTCCCTGGCTTGTGGCTCTTTCAAAGCATAACATTCCAACTTCCGCTTCTGCCATCACATTTCCATCACATCTCATCATATTTTAAACATTTCTATTTATTTATTTATTTATTTTAAAAATAGAGATGAGGTCTCACTATGTTGAGCAGGCTGGCTTCAAACTCCCAGCCTCAAGTAATTCTCCCACTTTGGCCTCCCAAAGGGTTGGGATTACAAGTGTGGGCCACTGCACCCAGCCTATCACTCAATCGCTCTCTCTCTTTTTTAATAACTCTATTATTCTTGCCTTCTTCTTATTAGGACCCTTGTGAGTACAATGGGTGCACCCAGATAATGCAGAATTATCTCCCCATCTTCAGATGCTTACCTTAATCACACATGTAAAGTCCCTTTTGCCATAGGTAACATATTGACAGGTTCTGGGGATTAGGATGTGGACATATTTGTGGAGGGTGTCACTATTTAGCCTTCACACTGGGGTATAGAAGCTTCACTCAGTCAGAGCCACTTCAGTAGAATTGTGTACCTGATATTAAGAGAGGTTCTTAGCTAAACCCTGCTTGGAGCAAAGGAGTCAGGCTCAGGTAGAGTAATCTGCGAACCAGAAACATAAGCATGATATGTGTTTATGGTGCTATAATAAGAATAACCTTGGAGCTGAAACTGGGACTGCCTCTTCATTAAATGCTCAGAGACCTGGAAAGCAGTGGCCTAACCATGAACAAAAATGCTGTTGTGAATATGTGCAATCTAAACACTCAGCTGGGCTCACGCCTATAATCCCAGCACTTTGGGAGGCCGAGGTGAGAGGGTTGCTTGGGCCTAGGAGTTCGAGACCAGCCTGAGAAATATAGTGAAGCCCCATCTCAACCAAAAATACAAAAATGGGCTGGGCATGGGCCTGTGGTCCCAGCTACTTGGGAGGCCGAGGTGGGAGGATCGTTTGAGCCTGGGAGGTTGAGGCTGCAGTGAGCTGTGATTGTGCCATCGGACTTCAGCCTGGGTGACAGAGGAAGACCCCATCTCAAAAAAAAAAAAAAAAAAAAAAGGTTAAACTCTTAGAAATGGAGAATAGAATGATGGTTACTAGCAGCTAGGTGGTGCTGGTAGTGGGAGGAGAAAGGTGATGGTTGGGGAGATGATGGTCAAAGTGCACAAAATTTCAATTAGACAGGCAGAGTAAGTTCAAGAGATCGATGGTACAACATGGTGTCTAGAGCTGATAACAATTTACTGTATTTTTGGAAATTGCTAAGGGTAGATTTTATGTTTTCTCACCACAAAAAATGACAAGCATGTGATGGGATTCATATGTTCATTAGCTTGCTTTGGCCATTCCACAATGCATACACATTTCAAAACATCATGCCGTACACCATAAATATATGCAATTTTTATTAGCCAATTAAAAAATAAATTAGTTAATTCTTAAAGATGTTGTTGTAAAGACAATGTGACTGTGGATGGCGATGCCTTCCAGGGTCAACACCGACTTCCCCACCTGCTTCTTTCCCTTGACATTCCCACAACTCTGCCGATGGTGGAGTTGATCCTCACCATCGGGGAGGATAATAATGAAAGGAAGGAGGAAGACTAATTCCCAGAGTTCAACTACAGTTCGCTCTTCATAACACAAAGACCATTTGCTGAAATAAAATCAAACTGCAGGACCTCAGCTTATCATTTGGGGGAGTTTGCCAGACCATGCTTGAAGCCTCCTGTGAACTTTCCTGCTAGCTGATGTAGCGCTAACAGCTTAAATGATGAGGAAATCATCGAAGTGTTTGCTGTAGACTTGTGTCCCCTTTGGGGACCCAGACCTTTGATAAGCTTCCCTTCTTTATGTTTAGTCAAGTAATGGATAAAATCTTAAGATCAACACAGTTTCTTCAATCAATATTCTTACAACCAGCTATAATCTATCTAATCAAAATATGACCTGGTCTGTACGTTTCTATCTTCCCACGGGGCTCTCTTTTTTTTCTTTTTCCCCACACCAAAACAGTACTTTATTTTGCAAATTTTGACCGATTATTACTCCCATGTTATTTTTTTTCAGCTGTCAAATGTACAAGATGAAGAGAAATTTCAGTTAGACAGGGGCTGCACCTGGAAAATAAATTTCTTAAACTCCATAAACACGTTTCAAAACTGCTGGGTCCCAAAAGTCCGTCTATGAACTCTAGGGCTGCCAGTATCATGTGCAGCACTTTAAAGCTACGCTATCTAAATAGCTTATTAATTCTGCATAAATCAGGTCAAGCAATGTGTCAACCTGTAACAGACTGTGCGCTTTAACTGAACATGGCAAAATATTCACTCTTTTGAACTTTACATCATCATTTGATGTCAAACAATGAAGCAAATCCCAACAGTATATACAAAAAACAGCTTTGCATTTATAAAAGATCATTTCCCATACTGACTAATCCAGGCAGCTAACTCATTGGTTTATTTAACTTTATTGAAGAAAAATAAATCAATTACTAGCAGAGCTGTTAGTTGATCACTCATCCATTGACAACTTGCATCATTTATTCAGTGCTATATCAAACAGTGTATTGGAAGATAGATTAACTAATAGCTCCGAGCCTCCTAACAATTTAAATGAAAATTACAAAATGTTTGAGACCCTATTTTGGAATACAAAGGGTGTTTGACTTCCAATTTCCATTCTCTGTAGAACAAGAACAGGTCATTCCTTTATTGACATGCATAAAATACATCACATTTTCTGTTCTGCTGATGCTATAAATTCAATACCAGTTCTCTAGCCACATCAGTTATGAGCATAAAGTATATCATGTAACCTCAAATCTGTAACAGTGGAAGGCTTAAACAAGAATGGATGCTGCTGGAATAATGCTGTATCCTTTGATGTGACAACTGAGCATCCTTCTCCCTCCCCCTCAGATGATTTCTTCAGCATGTTAGAGCAATGAGGAATGGTTTTAGTCTCATAACCAAGTTAGAGTGAAGACATTGGCTACATAATACACATGCTCCATTTTTTTTTTTTTAAATTCTGAGTCTTGGGCAGCAACTGTTCTCTTGTAACTACTTTACAGTTTCTAAAAGCAGTTATTGTCCAAAGCTGGAAGAACTTAAGTCTTCTCAGATAAGCATGTGAATGAATGGAGGGAGGTAAAAAAAAATAAAATTAAAAAAGGTGAGGTCTGATAGGGGAGCAGCCGGATAAGAAAATCAAAAAAGAAACAGTAATTTAAAGTTTATTCCAGCTATAATGCAGGTTATTCTGACTTTAAGGTAACATCACATGGCATACTTCTGAGTCCATTCCCGAGATATTCTGTTGTACTTATCTCTGTCTGTTTTATAGATCCGTGCAATCTCTGGCACTAGGGGATCATCTGGGTTTGGATCACATAGCAGTGAACAAATGGATAAAAGAACTTTAGAAAGTGTTAAAGCAGGCGACCACTGTGATCTTAGAATGTCAAGAAAAATGCTGCCATTACTGTTAATATTTGGGTGATAAATTCTTGTTGTAAATGCAACCTTAGATGGTTTGAAGGGGTAGTCTGTAGGAAAACGAATTGTCCAAAAGAATACACCGCCTTGATATGGTCTGTCATGAGGTCCCATAATTGTGGCTTGCCAGTGAAACATATCATCCCCAACTGGACCTGCAGAACATTGTGCTGGAGGGTCACGGGCCAAATCACTAAGTTCCTTATTAATCCGTTTCAGCGCCATAGTGTGTGCTTGTCGTCTGGCTCCTCACTCTCTCAGTGTATGCTCAAAGGTCCGGCCAAAACTCTTGATTATCCTGGCGGCGGGGCAGGATTGTCTCGTCTCACACCAGCTCTGCCCACGGGGCTCTCTTGAGGGAAGATATCCAAAGTTTAACAGAACTCTAGAAAAGATAGAGCCTTGACATTCATGAAAGACTCATCCTGGAACTTAGAATTCCCCTGGAAACCCCTAGTTATATAACCACCACCATGGCACACAATTTCTTCCAGAAGATGTATTTTTTTCCTCTATAGGCTGGAGCATGAATGTATGAATCACTTCTTATTTATGTTAAATTACATTTTTATAATTTATAAATTGTATTATATTAAATTCACTCATGCCATGGACTGGAACTAGAGATTCTTAATATTCATTATATTCTTTAAAGTTATCCAAACTTTAGATGGGCTAAAATCTATCCTTTTCTTAGAGAGTCCTTAACTCTTCACCTAATAACATTTTCATTTCTTTCTTTACTTTCAAAACCAGCACCAGCTTCCATTCCGAGAAAACCCTTGGCTTTCTTTGAGGGGCATATTCCCCCACAAAGGAATATAGTTTTTTATTATTTCATGAGAGCATGAAATACAATATTGAGTAAAGAACAAGAAAGCCTCATTGAAATGGGGCTGCTTTGTTGTTGGGTAGGCTTAGCTGCTGGGGTGCAAGATGGAAACTTACACTTCGCAAAATAACGAATGACCGACCACATCATGGATCTTTGAGATTGCTCACAAAGTCACAAATAGCAAAGCTGCTGATATAAAGGGCTACCATATGTTATATCAATGACACGTCTCTGTACTGTCCACAGTGAGGACATACCAACTTCTTTTTGTTTCAAGCACCATTCTAGAAGGACTGAATCTAGAAGGACTGAATTCCTGTGTGACAATTCCAGTTTCTATCATACATCTCCAGAGTGACAGCTTTTCTTCCTCTTTTCTCCCTAATCCAGTCCCCAGTCTCCGGCTGCCTCTCATCATAATTATGTGTAATGTTGGCTGACGCTATACTTGGATGTACAGGGAAACTGTACCTTCTTGATTTTTCTACCATTGATTGAATCTTCAGGAGCCCCCATCTCATGGGAGGTGGGGAAGCTATTCATGATATACAGTCTTTTTGAATGTACATAGACTCCCTTCAGTTGAAATCATTCATTTCTGGACATGTGAAATCTTTTGGGTTTCAGTCCCTGCCCTTGCTACTTTCTAATATGGTTGAGCTTCCAGGGACTGCATGTTGGAGGAGGGGAGGAGGAAGATCAGAATCATATACTGTTCTAGAATTCTGGATCCTTGCTGGCTCTGCTGCAGGATGGATTTCAGGATGGATTGCTGAGGAATAATGTGCCCCATCTGGTCTTTTGGAGTCTGTGGTCCTGGCCACTTGTCCTTGATAGCAAAGGCACCACACATAATGATCACTTTGACCTTACTCTGGGCCTCTGCCCATCTGCCACCCCTAAGTAGGGCATACAGGAATTTATGGATCCCTGCACCTCACCGTTTGCTGTGGCATATTAGGGCATTGGTCAGACTCCTCCATCTCCCTGCCTCCTCCCGTGGCTGCATCACCATTTCTCTAGAACACCTGCAGGGCTCCTCTTAGAGGTCTGGGGCCTTCCTCAGTGAGCCCAGGGAAGCATCCCATTGCTGCCTTCCTGCCCCATGATCTCAGGCTTCTCTACACTTAGATGTTTCTATAGCTTCCCCACCTCCACCACCTAGATTTAGCTCCTGAAGGAGAAAGCAAGGACAAATGCATTCAGCCTTCAAGTATTTTCTGTTTCTTTCTTTTCCACCATCCACTGAGGCTAGAAGGGATGGGCTCTGTTTTCTTCTTCCTCTATCGAAAGGACTTCCTCTACATCATAGCCTCCTTTGGAGGGCCATTAAGCTTCCTGGTTCAGTGTTAATGGTGGAAGAGCATCTTCTCTTACATGATGGAAGAAACTCTGTGATTTGAGTTGACCAGGTATGATAGGAAGTCCAAGATGACTAGGGACTTGAGACCACAGGAGATAAAAATACCCTGGTTTGATAATCCCAAAACATATCCACTACATGTGACACAATGTTCTGAATTCATCTAGGAGAAATTCTGTTCCTGGAAGTAATCATTTCAAACATAACAAAATAACTATTACAAATAACAAAAATAACTATTGTCTGCTTATGATATGCTAGGCATTTTCTAAGATAATTTAATCCACATGCAATCCTATGATGTCAGTGCTATTACGATTCCTATTTTACACATGAGGAAGTAAGGTCTGGATAGGAGGTAAAGAATCTGTTCAAGTTCACATGGTTAAATAAAGAATTATTATTTGACCACAATTCTGGCTGGCTGGGACCCCAGGCCCTTCCATCCTGCCTGTCCCCACCCCTCTTTCTTCATTCAGCTCATCAGCCTCTTTCTTCATTCAGCTCATCAGCTGCCCAGTCGGCTCTCCCCTAAACACTCTGAATCTGATGTGCCTGTCGAACCAAGCTACGTGCTGTTCCACTTACAGTCCGTCTAATTTTCCCTCCTCTAGGTCTTTGTTGCTTCTGTTCCCTTTTCCCGGGGTACCCTCCTGTCACCATTCCCCATGGCCCCAAACCTTCTCTGATCCCCACAGCCAGAAGGTATTTGTGTCTAAATTCACTCTATCTTTGCAGTGTCTCTCCAGTGTCTCAACTTTCACGTGGAATTAGTCACACATTATCTCGGGAACCACCTTGAGATTCAGGCTTGCATCTCCATCCTCTTTGTTTCTCCACAGCATCTGGGGCAGAAGCTGCATGAGTGAGTAGAAGACCCTTTTCTCTGCACACTGGGCCATGCCTGCAGCAGAGTTTAGCAAAGGCTTATGTTAGGACCTTGCCTAGGAGCTGGTTCCAGAGCTGGGAATCCGAGGTTGGCATGAAGTGAGACTCCAGAGACTAATTCTTTCGTCTCAGTCTGTGACTCACATGTGGAAATTCAGTCTAAGAAGTCACCAAAGGGATACAACGACCTTGAGTCTGCATGGCTTTCTGTTCTAAGGGCATCTCTGGGTTTCCTCCCTGCTTCTTGGAGGCAAAGCCTTCTGCCTATTTCCCTATTTAGTGATAACTTTTTCTAAGTTCCAGTAAAACAACCCCCGCTCCTCAATTTGTTTTATCTGAAGAAAGTGCCAAACCCATTATTGGAAAATGAAAAATATTGTCCTGTTTCATGAGCTCTTTGAACATCTGTATAGTAGTACATGGTTCAAGATTTCAAGATTGTTTATTTCCTTCTTTTTAGATACAGGGTCTCACTCTGTTGTTCAGGCTGGAATGCAGTGGTGTGATTATAGCTCATTACAGGCTCGAAATCCTGGGCAAGCAATCCTCTCACCTCAGCCTTTTGAGTAGTTAGAGCTAGAGGTATGTGTCACTATACCTGGCTAATTTTTTCATTTTTTTATTTGTAGAGATCAGGTCTTGCTATGTTGCCAAGGTTCCTGGCCTCAAGCGATTCTCCTGCCTCAGCCTCCCAAAGTGCTGGGATTATAGGTGTGAGCTACCATGCCCCACCTCAAGATTTATTATTGTTATTGATATTGCATTTGAAGTTATTGGCATGACCCATAGCCTAATGATAAAGGGACTCAACAGTAAAACATTGAAGGCAGATGGATCTAGAGAGCCTCTGAGGCAGTCATTTGCAGGATCAGGGTAGGGATCTTTGCCAATTAATGTGGTCATATTCCTACCATTGGAGGAGTCAGATTAAATTGTGCTTGAAGGAAATAAAGACATTTACTATGGGAATCCAGGCTGCCTTGCTAATGAATTGCTCCATGTAGCAGCGAGGTTTCTCCCAGCCGAGGGCTGAAAGTGAAGACCTTGCTTAGCAAAAGGTATGTTGATTAAATAAATGTGTTCCTCACATAGTAGTTCCGCCACTGGACACTCAGGGTTTCTGTATCCATGTCCTAGGGTACAGCTATCCAAACTTCTGCCAGGAAAGAAACAGATAAAAGTTGTGTTTGTGCTGCTATTTAGTGGGGCATGAGGCTGGGTGTGGTGGCTCATGCCTATAATCCCAGCAATTTGGGAGGCCAAGGCAGGTGGATCACTTGAGGTCAGGAGTTTGAGACCAGCTTGGCCAACATGGTGAAACCCCGCCTCTACTAAAAATACAAAAATTAGCTAGGCGTGATGGTGTATGCCTGTAATACCAGCTACTAGGAAGCCTGAGGCAGGAGAATCTCTTGAACCCAGGAGGCTGAGGTTGCAGTGAGTCAAGATCGTGCCGCTGCACTCCAGCCCAGGTGACAGAGCGAGACTTCATCTCAAAAAAAAAAAGGGCGCCAAACATCTACTGTGTACCCACAAAAATTAAAATTATAAAAAGACGGCATCAGCAATCCCAGGAGGTGATGTGTCCCTGGTTGGTGTACCTCAGGAGTTGCTGCATTTGCCTCACATCACCATGTGAGATAAAGTAGCAAATGTAAGAAGCCACGTGTGCTCATTTCTGTTTGCCAGCAAAATTTCACAAAGCTTCTTGCCTGAGTCACTATATTTCTCGAAAGATGAATGATCCTAGCCCTTGCCTTTTTCTGCACGTAAGATAACATCTGACAGGGTTAATGATTATGCTTCTGTAATTATAACCAGATGTACTCTTGCACCCAAGCTTTGATGTGATTGTACACGTGCTAAACCTTCATCACCCGCATATAAACTGTGAACTAAAACATAGCTTTGGAGGTGTCTGACAGAACCTCTCTGAAAGACTCCTCTTGGGCTATAGTCCTCAGTCAGACTTCTGAATAAAACCAACTTGAACTCTTTAAAAGTTTGATGTTTATTTCTTTAGAAGGCATTTGGCTGCTAGGAGACACAAAGCACAACCACAGCTAAGTCAGCCAGCAGTGGCTTGGGTGAAGACTGCACGTTGTGTTGTGGGTGGCCCTGTACTTGCCTTGTTTTGGAGTGCGAGCAAACCCCCTCCCCTCCACCTGCTTTTCCTGGGGCCGGGTTACCTCTCAGCACAACCTGCTTTCCCATTTGGCTCCTGAATCACTTGCAAACAGCTCCATGTGCATTCGAGTCTAATGCGTTAAGAGCCCCTCCACGCCCATTTATCTCAATAGGAGAAAAGAAAGGCAGGAGCACTAGGATGATTCTGGGGTGATTCTCTCTGGTTTCCCTGGAATCCTGGAGTCTCAATTATGGTCCCTTGGATTGGATGTGCTCTTGGCCTGCCAGAGGGAGGAACAGTATCTTTTCTGCAGTTTAAGATTCTGCCGGGAGGCCAGAAACCAGCTGAGGGTCCACTCCTTAGGAGTCAGGAGTGCAGTCCCCGAGTGCAGTTCGCTGCATCAGAGTGAAAATCTTGGGGCAATATCTTGGCTCCAGCAAGCATTAGCTGTACCCTTAAGCAAGGCATTTCCTTTTGAAACTCCGATCTCCTCACCTAAGAAAGGAGTGAGTTGAATTATATGCCCCTATAAGGCCTTTCCTGGTCTGTGGTCTGTGGTGTGTGTGTGTGTGTGTGTGTGTGTGTGTGTGTGTGCGCGCGCGCGTGTGTGTGTGTGCGCATGCGCGCGCACCCATCCTCTTGAGCCAAAGGAGAGACAGCTGTTAAATTGGAAGGATATGTTTCAAAGCCATCATTTTTCCTGTAGAAATAGAACTCACTTTAAGTTTTCTAATTACCTCCTACATGTCACATTCTTTCTTCCTCTTTAAGTCTGGATTGCTTCTCATGACTGAGGGCCTGAAGCCATCTTTTGATTTCTTCAATCTGTAAAGCAACTTATTTTAAATTTTGAATGCTGATAGAAAAGGCTTTAATAGCTTCATTACAGAGCCATCTTTTTTCTTATTCTGGCTGAGGAAATGGATCTGTTTTGCTAAATGAGATTAATTTTTCAATGTATATAATAATAGGCATAAATGTGTACATCTTAGCATATTAAAAGTGTCTTAAGCTTACCATTAATTAGTCTTGAGAAGAAAAGACTAAATACAAGTGTAATGAATTTATTACCAGTTGGAGGGATGAATAGTCACGGTGCAATCAGCAGCTTTCATTGGAACAAACAAGACTGTTTTAGAATGAAGGCATCGCATCAGTCCAGGACCGTGATTCCTTGCTTATTTGCATGCATGAATACACTCCGGGGCCATTAGCTTGAAGGACATAACCGAGAGGAGGCTGATTGATGCTATGAGCTACCACTGTTCTAAAAATGCCTTCAATAAGTTCCTTCTCTGTTTCAAGGTGGGACTGTTTAGGTAGCTATTACTTCACTCATATCTAAATATACTAACATGCTTAAAAGATCAGCAGAGAAAGCACTTGAAACCTGTGACTAAATTCCACATGTTAATTATTTAATTGGATAACAACATTACACTTTAATCACTGGAAAATCACAAATACACACTGATATTTACAAAAGTTTTTTCAGTTAAATTTCAATGAAAGGAAGTTGGTATATTCTAGGACAAAAAGGAACAGGGTGATGAATCCTGCTGACAGACTTGACTGGTACATGGTCCATTCCTAAAGAATCTCCTGATTCGGCTAAGAGCCAGGATAGAATAATAAATAAAAATACAATTATTATATTTATAGAAATGTACATAACCTAAAATTGTTACTTGCTTGGCTTTGAAATGCATTATTACACAATGCATTTCAAAGCCAAGCAAGTAAGAATTTTTGTAAATCAGAATTAACAGTTTTGCTTAGGCTAATATTATAGTGTGTTTGCATTTTCTTTTATTTTCCTTTTGAGATGGAATCTTGCTCTATCACCCAGGCTGGAGTGCAGTGGTGTGATCTCAATTCACTGCAACCTCTGCCTCTGGGGTTCAAGCAATTCTCATGCCTCAGCCTCCTGAGGAGCTGGGACCACAGGCATGTGCCACCACGCCAGCTAATTTCTGTATTTTTCTAGAGATGGGGTTTTTGGCCATGTTGGCCAGGCTGGTCTTGAACTCCTGACCTCAGGTGATCTGCCCATCTTGGCCTCCCGAAGTGCTGGGATTACAGATGTGAGCCACCATGCCGGCCTGCATTTTCTGAGAGTACAATGATTGGGCTGAAGGTGAGTCTGCTGGGTGGTGATAGAAAGAAATATTGGTTGAAACTTCAGTCAGAGAAACAAATCAACAAATAATAGAAACAATCAAACAAGCAAACAATTAATTCCTTGTCTATAAAAAATTAGGAATTGGTCAAATATGGTTGGGTCAGTCCCAAACCAGGTACCATTTGCATAGCTACCACATCAAAATGAATCAAGAAGAAATGAAGACGTGTACCTACAGTTACCACAAATGTATAATACAAACAGATTCAGAAGTGATATTTATGCAGCACTAGGGTGCTATTTTGCAACATGCAGGGAGGACTGTCAACACTTCTAAGACCGCAGGGATGCTGAGAGTCTTGGGGTCACTGAGAATCTGAGGTTAAATTTCCCAGATTATAACCAAGAACAGGGATCCCTTTTTGGCCCACTGTAGACAAGGTACACTGTGAAGTCTTCAGGAGTCTTTCATCCAAAGAACAGGGATGAAAAAGTGTGGGTATTTCTCTAATAAATCACAGTGGATGGGGTTTCCAAATAAACTCCCTCCAAATAAACTGTTCAATATCACTTCTCCATTCTTATCGTGTGCACAGTTGAAAAGCACATTCACAAACCATGGCCTCAATGGGCTCTCCCAACAGTCTTGCAAGGTATGAAGAGCGGATATTTTCATCATCGCCATTTCATTAAAGCAAAACTGAGACACAGAGAGAAAACATCATGAATTTAGGACTTGAGTCTTAGAGTTAGGACCTGAACCCAGGTCTTTGGATTCTAGGTAGAGTTCCTTTTGTAAAAGAGGGAGTGTTCTAGAAAGTGGTCCAGTCCTTAGCAAAATGCCCACAGAGATTATGTTCATTGCCAGTGGCAACCTCCACTTTTTTCTCTGTCCTCTTTCCCCCTGACCCCAGAGCCACTGAAATCCTTTGCACTGAGGAGGCAAAAATTGACACCTCAGGATTACCCATCTCCACCCAAATAAAATGATAAGCTTTCAAGCATCAGTGGGAAAGTGATTTTTAGGTTCTTTCCTTTGAAATTACACCATTGTGGATAACCACATAAGGCTGGGCTGACTATAAGAATTTTTTTTTTCTTGAAGCCAAAATCCTAGAGAATGCCCTGGGAGGCAGTAGGAGGTGGGTGGGAAAGTTCAGTATGATGGCTGTAACACACCTCCCATGATGCTGTAAACCACGCACTGACAAACTTATCGTTACATTTCCATTGTGTCTAAGAGTCTTCTTCTATAGCCGTTGGTTGTTGTTGTTGTTGTTTTGTTGTTTGTTTGTTTGTTTTTTTCCTGAGACAGAGTCTCACTCTGTCACTCAGGCTGGAGTGCAGTGGAGCAATCTCAGCTCACTGCAAACTCCAACTCCCAGGTTCAAGCTATTCTCCTGCTTCAGCCTCCTGAGTAACTGGGATTACAGGCGCCCGCCACCACGCCTAGCTAATTTTGTATTTTTAGTAGAGACAGGGTTTCACCATGTTGGCCAGCCTGGGTTGAACTCCTGACCTCAAGTGTTCCACGTGCCTCAGCCTCCCCAAGTGCTGGGATTACAGGCATGAGCCATCATGCCTGGCCTATAGCCTTTTGATATTCCTGCACTGGTAAGATACAGAATTAGGGAAGATGGAGGGTGAACTATCTATATATCTGGAGATAGCTTGGAAACTCCAATAGCTTCTGCTACTTTGTTATGTTTTTTATATGTTTTTGATTGTAATCAAATCAAGTGTTTTTTATTACAGTAGGTGAAGAGTAAATGTCAGCTCCTGCTGTCCCTGTCTAATCTCATTGGTGTGGTTTGCACACAGTACATGTTCAGTCCATGTCAGTTGCTGCTCCTTGTGTCTAATCTCCTTGTTGGGATTGTGGACACAGTAGGTGTCGAGCGGATATCAGTAAATGTCAGCTGATTTGGTTCATGTCTAGTCTCATTGTATGTTACGACTTTGCAGCATTCAGCTTCTTGAGGGCACGGGGGAGGCATGAACACAGATGTCATTTCCCATGCAGCCTATGAACTTGGTTGATGGTGGGTGATGCTCTGAGTACTGGACTGGGGTTTTCAATTGTGTGACACCAGTGGGTCACTTCAGCCTGATACAGTCCACCTCTTCTGTGGTGGGCACCCCGTTGGTTCTGAGGTCAAGGTCAGCACTGGACTTGCTCCCCCGCTGGGAGGGACGCCAGTGCAGCAGCATCATCTTCTTGAAGTACTTCATGGTGTTGTTCTTGACCGTCACGAAGCACACGGTGTTGATCATGCTGTTGCTCATGGCGATGCACTCGACCACGTAGAAGGCAGTGAGGTAGTGCTTTTCCTTCACGAACACAGTGGGGAAGAAGTCACGAACGATGGTGAAACCGTAGAAGGGTGCCCAGCACAGCACATAGGCCGTGAGAATGCACATGAGCACCAGGACCGTCTTCCTGCGGCAGCGCAGCCGCTTGCGAATCTGCTCCGTCTGGAACCCAGGGACTGCCTTGAACCAGAGCTCCCGGGAGATCCTGGCATAGCACAGGGTCATGGTGACCACAGGGCCCACGAACTCGACACCAAAGATGAAGAGGAAGTAGGACTTGTAGTAGAGCTGCTGATCCACAGGCCAGATCTGGCCACAGAAGATCTTCTCCTGGCTCTTGACAATAAAGAGGACCGTTTCTGTTGCAAAGTAAGCCGATGGGATGGCAATGAGAATGGACACCATCCAGACCAAGGCGATCAGGAAGGAGGCCGTTTGATAATTCATCCGTGGTTTCAAGGGGTGAACGATGGCGAGATATCTGGTGGGGGAGGGAAGCCAACAGTAGTAATGATGAATACGTGGAAACGTTAGTTTGTAACTAACCCCAAACATACACTAAAGCAGTGGCACAGTGAATCCTCATGTACTTGTTATCCAGCTTTAACAAGCTTCATCTTATTTTAGCAACATCATTTGGCATAGTGAAGTGTTTTAGTGAAAACAGCACAGGCTTTGGGTCAAACAGGCTGAATAAATCCTGGGTTTTCCCTGGATTGGCTTTGGGGTCTGAGATGAATTATTCAATCTCCCTGAGATTTATTTCCTCAAATGCAACCTGGAATAAGATGATACTTACTTTGCAGGGCTACTGTGAACACTAAATATGGCAATTTTTGTAAAATGCTTTGTGTATAGTAGGCGTTCAATAAATACTTGTGTCCTGTTATTATTCTTAAGCATCCTATTATACCACCTTGGGTTTCCATCTTGTCATTCTGCCCAAGAACATACAATACTCTCAGAGCTCTTCATTCCAAATAGCTCACGGTTTAGGTGAAGGAAGGGCTTATGGCCCCCAGACAGAGGTGGGAGCCTTTCTCAGGGCAGTTGGCAAGAATTTGCTTCCCCTCCCATGAGCTGTCATCCTGCATTTCAGAGGCAGGAGAGTCAAGGTAAGCTTGTAGTGAAATCTAAGGACTCTAATGAAAAGTAAATGCCTTGCCCAAGCTCACATCATGCAGGGACCAGAATCCAGGCTCTTGATACAAAGCTTATGCTCCCACCTCCCTGGGCCATCTTGTGCTCAAATGAGAAGGTGTGTGAAGTCTTTATCCTTGCCCTTTCCAATGAGCCACACTGTCTTGGAGACAGATTGGAGCCCTTTGTGGGAAATGAGCTCATTTGTGTGGATTGAATACTTTCTTTCCAGAGAGACCTAATGACACCTATTTAGACACCTGGTGCCCTGGCATCATTTCTATGCATCTTATGGTTGGGGTAGGGGGTAGGGGAGGAATGCTTTGGGATATGGTAGATGAAGATAAGAGGCATGAAGGACAGGGAGGAAACAAATCAACCCTGGAAATGAACGTGTACTTCATACCTGGAGCTTGAGTCAGGTGAGAACAAGAGCAGGATGCCGCCTGCTGGTAAACAGGCCCCCCAAAACCTGGCCATAAACTGGCGTCAGCGTAACAATGGGACAAGTGTGGGCTCTGGTTCGTTCCACCTTGGAACTTTTTCACACTGATGATGAGGAGGAAGGAGAGTATAACGAAGTAACAGAAGAGGTTACAGAGCAGGTTTATTTGCCAGCTAAAGCTAAAGCGGCAAAGGAGGGAGAGGTTCATCCCTACTCTTCTGCACCCCCTCCTTATTATTTTGAAGAAAAAGACCCTCCAGATCTTTCTTTTCTGGAGGACACTGGGTGAAAAGTAGTTGCCCCAGTGACTATTCGAGCAGCACTTCAAGCGACTGCTCTTAGTTCTATTCAGGCAGGAATTCAGCAACCTAGATGAGAGGGTGATTTAGAGGCTTGGCAGTTCCCTGTTAGAATACACCGCCCCAGATCAACAGGGAAATATTATAGCTACATTTGAGCCTTTTCCTTTTAAATTACTCAAATAATTTAAACAAGCTATAAATCAGTATGGACCAGGTTCTCCTTTTGTAGTGGGACTGTTAAAGAATGCTGCTCTTTCCAGTCGGATGATGAATTCCTACTGACTGAGATGCTCTTACTCGAGCTCGTCTAACTCCTGCTCAGTTCTTACAATTTAAAACTTGGTGGGCAGATGAAGCTTCCATTCAGGCTGCTTGCAATGCCCAGGCCCATCCTCAAATTAATATAACTGCAGACCAACTTTTGGGGGTTGGCGACTGGGCTGGTTTAGATGCACAAGTGGTCATGCAGGATGATGCCATAGAACAGCTTAGAGGAGTGTGCATTAGAGCTTGGGGAAAAATCACTTCATGTGGAGAACAATACCCTTCCTTTAGTGCTATAAAACAGGGACCAAAAGAACCATACGTGGATTTTATAGCTCAGTTACAGTAGTCTCTTAAAAAGATGATTGCAGATTCGGCTGTTCAGGATAGAGTGTTGCAGTTATTAGCTTTCGACAATGCTAATCCCGATTGCCAGGCTGCTCTGCGACCTATCAGAGGGAAAGCACATTTAGTTGATTATATCAAGGCCTGTGATGGTATCGGAGGTAATCTGCATAAGGCTACTCTGCTAGCACAGGCAGTGGCAGGACTGAGAGTGGATAAAGGAAATACTCTATTTCCTGGAGTTTGTTTTAACTGTGGGAAGCATGGTCATACTAAAAAAGAATGTAGAAAAAATCAGTGAGTCAGGCCACCAGATAGGGGAAAAAAGAAAACTGCTGAGCCCAAAATATGTCCAAAATGTAAAAAAGGAAAACATTGGGCTAATCAGTTCACTCTAAGTTTGAGAAAGATGGGAACCTGATTTCGGAAAACACCATGAGCGGCCCGTCCCGGGCCCCATTCTAAACTGGGGCATTTCCAGCTCAGGCCATTCCCTGACCCCTGTACAATGTCTGTCCCCTGACACAGCTGGTAGTGCTGCAGTAGATTTATGCTGCACAAAAGCTGTGAGTCTTCTGCCTGGGGAACCCCCGCAAAAGGTCCCAACAGGAGTCTGTGGACCCTTGCCAGCGGGGACGATAGGATTACTTCTAGGAAGGTCTAGCTTAAATTTAAAAGGGGTACAAATACATACAGGAGTCGTTGATTCAGATTACAATAGGGAAATTCAAATGGTTATATCTGCTTCTGTTCCCTGCAAAGCAGAGCCAGGAGAGCGTCTGGCACAGCTCCTGATTGTGCCGTATGTGGAAATGGGGAAAAGTGAAATTAAATGAACAGGAGGATTTGGAAGCACAAATAAACAAGGCAAAGCAGCTTATTGGGTAAATCAAATTACTGATAAACGTCCTACCTGTGAAATAACTATTCAGGAAAAAAAAATTTAAAGGTTTGGTAGGTACAGGAGCGGATATTTCAATCATTTCTCTACAGCACTGGCTGTCTGCATGGCCAATTCAACCCACTCAATTTAACATAGTTAGAGTTGGTAAAGCCCCTGAAGTATATAAAAGTAGTTATATTTTGCATTGTGAAGGGCCCAATGGACAACCTGGGACTATTCAACCAATTATAACTTCTGTACCTATAAATTTATGGGGGAGAGATTTATTACAACAAGTTCTAATTCCAGAACAATTATATAGCCCTCAGAATCAACATATGATGCATGAAATGGGGTATGTCCCTGGTATGAGACTAGGAAAAAATTTGCAAGATTTGAAAGAACCACTTAATTGGAAAGACAAAGTTCCCACCAAAGACTAGGATAACATTTTTGATGGCGGCCAATGTTAAGCCTCCAGAACCTATACCTTTAAAATGGTTAACAGATAAACCAATTTGAATAGAACAATGGCCACTAAGTAAAAAGAAACTGGAGGTTTTAGAGAAATTAGTTACTGAACAATTAGAAAATGGGCACATAGCTCCAACATTTTCCCATTGGAATTCTCCAGTTTTTGTAATTAAGAAAAAAATCAGGTAAATGGAGAATGTTAACTGATTTAAGAGCCATCAATTCAGTTACACAACCTATGGGAGCATTACAGCCAGGATTGCTTTCTCCTGCTATAATCCCCAAAAATTGGCCTTTGATAGTCATAGATTTAAAAGACTGTTTCTTTACTATCCCTTTAGCTGAGCAAGACTGTGAATGGTTTGCATTTACAATTCCTGCAGTAAACAACCTGCAGCCTGTTAAGTGTTTTCATTGTTTTATAGATGGGTTTAGTAATGGTAAAGCTTCTTATTCTGGCTCGAAAAGTAAAGTTTTCCAGACGCCCTATACTTCAGCTCAAAAAGCGGAGCTTGTAGCTGTAATTGAGGTATTGACTGCTTTTGATATGCCTATTAATGTGATTTCTGATTCTTCATACATGGTTCATTCCACACCGTTAATTAAAAATGCTCAGTTACTGTTTCATAGAGATAAACAACTGATGACAAAAACAAAAAAGGGGGAGAAATAGGGATTACAGGACAGCCCATACACAACTGAATCTAGCATTATTAACTTTACATTTTTTGAGCCTGCCCAAAGGCCAGATGTTATCAGCAGCTGAACAGCACCTACAGAAACCAGCTGCAAAGACAAAAGCAGAATAACTGATTTGGTGGAGAGATCCAATAACAAAAAGTTGGGAAATAGGTAAAATAATAACTTGGGGTAGAGGTTATGCTTGTGTTTCTCCAGGCCAAAATCAACAGCCAATTTGGATACCATCAAGACACCTGAAACCTTATCATGAGCCAGATGCTGAGGAAGAGATTCCAGGAGGATCCCGAGGACCCCCCATTTGCAGTCATGTCGAGACTGATGCTGAGGAGGACCCCAACTGTCACAAGCAACACCCGTTGAACACAGCCACCCACCTGGGGACAGATCAAGAAGCTGTCATAGATGGTGGAAGAAAACCTGAGGAAAGCAGGACAACCAGTTACAATGAGTAATTTAATGGTAGCTATGATAGCGGTGATCACCATTGCCATGAGTATTCCTTCAACAACGGCTGACACAGAGAACAATTATACTTCTTGGGCATATTTATCAATCTTGGCTGGCAATAATGCCTGGATATAATCACTCTATGATGCAGTTACACATGCTTTCTGATCTCAGTATTTACCGTAATAAATCTGCTCCTATAATTGAGGCATACCACCCTCAAAAAACTACTTGTAAACAAAATAGAACCTGGCCAGAAATAATGAACATACTTGTTTAGGAAGATTGCATTGCAGAACGGGCAGAGGTGCTGCGCAACGAATCCTATGGAATCATTATTGATTGGTCCCCTTAGGGGATGTTTAGCTTGAATTGCACCTCTCAGTCTGCGTGCCATGGCCACACTATGTTCAGCTGGTCTGAACAAAATGGTCAGATGGTAGAAATGGCAAGAAGTATGGCAAGAGTTCCTATTATCTGGAACCTTGGTGGTATAGTGGCACCTCAACCTCAAATAATATGGCCTGCTGTAGAAGCTAAACATAAAGATTTGTGGAAACTATTAATAGCTCTTAATAAGATCAAAATTTGGGAAATAATAAAAAAGCATCTAGAAAGACACTCTACAAACTTGTCTTTGGATATTGCAAAATTAAAGAACAAATATTTAAAGCATCCCACACCTGACCTTAATGCCAGGAACTGGAGTGCTTAAAGGAGCTGCAGACAGGTTAGCAGCTAGTAACCCATTAAAATGGATAAAAACACTTGGAAGCTCTGTGATTTCAATGATTGTGCTTTTAATCTGTGCTGTTTGTCTTTGTATAGTCTGCAGATGTGGATCCTGACTCCTGTGAGAAGTAGCTCACTGTGACAAAGCTGCCTTTGCTTTTATCGATTTGCAAATCAAATAAGGGGGACATGTTGGGAACAGGCCCCCCCCCCTCAAAACCTGGCCATAAACTGGCCCCCAAACTGGCCATAAACAAAATCTCTGCAGCACCATGACATGTTCATAATGGCCATAATGCCCACGCTGGAAGGTTGTGGGTTTACCAGAATGAGGGCAAGGAACACCTGGCCCGCCCAGGGCAGAAAACCGCTTAAAGGCGTTCTTAAACCACAAACAATAGCATGAGTGATCTGTGCCTTAAGGACATGCTCCTGCTGCAGATAACTAGCCCAACCCATCCCTTTATTTCGGCCCATCCCTTCATTTCGGCCCATCCCTTCATTTCCCATAAGGGCTACTTTAAATCTAATATCTATAGAAACAATGCTAATGACTGGCTTGTTGTTAATAAATACATGGGTAAATCTCTGTTCGGGGCTCTCAGCTCTGAAGGCTGTGAAACCCCTGATTTCCCACTTCACACCTCTATATTTCTGTGTGTGTGTCTTTAATTCCTCTAGCGCTGCTGGGGTAGGGTCTCCCCGACCGAGCTGGTCTCAGCAGCTGCCTATAGAAAATTCTATCCCACTTACCTTTCCTTTGTGACCAGACCCTTCAGTCACTCTTTCCAAGTCTCTGACTGGACTAAGAAGGCCTTCTGTCATGTTATTTCTTCCTGTCCCTGTCAATATTTCTGCCACAAAGTTGTTTTATCTTCTCTTGCCTGCCCCCTGCCTGCCAGTGGCTCTGATCATTGAATTGCATTAGAGGAGATACCAAAGCAGCATGGCTCTCCCCAGCTTTTGACTTTCTGAAGATCTAGGATGAAGCTGGATCCTACCCCAACCGCTGGCTGCACCCTAGCTAGGTATATTAATATGCACAGTGGTTGCTGGGGTTCTTCAGCCATGCATGTGACCTGACCTTGCCAAATTAACCTGCATGACCTGCCTGCATGGTACAAGGCTCACAGGGCTGGAGAGTGGAACAAATGGGCAGGCTCATTCTTGTTGGGGGCAGGGACATCTCACAGTCACTGACTCTTCATGATGACTGAGTGAATTAGTCTCCTATTGCTGCTTGTAACAAATTACCGCAAACATAGTGGCTTGAAACAACCCAAATGTATTATGTTACGGTTTTGGAGGTCAGAAGTTTGACATGGTTTTCACTGTGCTAAAATCAAGATGTTGGCAAGGCAGCATTTCTTTCTGGAGGTGCTGATGGGGAGAATCTATTTTTGTTGCCTTTTCTAGGGATGCCAGCATTCCAGGGCTGATGACTTTTTCCCTTTCCAAAGCCAGCAAGGGTCAATCGAGTTTCTTGCATTGTATCACTGACACAAACTCTTTGGCCTCCCTCTTTCACAGTTAAAGATCTTTGTGATTTCATTGGGTCCACCCAGATAATCCAGTATAATTTCTATATTTTAAGATCAGCTGATTAGCAACCTTAATTCCATCTGCTACCTCAATTCCCCTTTGGCATGTAATGTAATGTGTTTATAGATCCTGGGGATTAGGATGTGGTTATCCTTGGGTGAGGGACATTATTCTGCCTCCCATACTGAATCCAAAGGGCTTAGATAATGCAGAACAAATTCACAACTTTATAGCTCTCTCTCAATCTGGTTCCACCATAAAAAGTATTTCAATAACCCATGCCAAAGGGAATTTCCACATTTCTCCTTATTCTGTTGTCAATTCTTAAATTCTCATTCTTTTTCCTCCAATAACATCTTTCTCATTGTATGATGTTCCAAAATTCAGAGTTGTCATCAAATAAATCAGAAAGCAATAACACTGGCCTAGGAGTTATTCAGAAGACCTGGATTCCAGCTGTGTACCTGGACTCAAACTGTGTACTTGGATAAATCACTTTTGGTTGGGGGACTCAGTTTCTTCATCTGTGAAGTGGGGATAATTAATAAGATCACTGACAACCTCTAAGGCTTTTTGTCATGTTCTGAGAAGGTAAACATACATAAGGGATGTTGAAAGCTATTGCACATTGTTTAAGCTAATCATTTCCTATGACTCATTCATTTGCAAGAGGGACACCGGCAAGGTCTTTGTTTTCATCTGTCTGCTTGGATGTGTTTCTTTGGGCCAATCCTTTCCTTCTAGGGTCTCTATGACTTGAAATAGTACCTCCTCTGGGCTTCTCTCTGGATGGACCTGGCTGTGGCACATGGAAACAGCATTGGGTGGCCCTTCTGATATTTCTCTGTAGTAGGACAGGGAGGACTGTGCTTCTCCCACCCTACATGTGTTAGGGAACACAAGCCTATCTAATTCTGGGATTGACTGTGCCCAGTGATAAAAGCTCCCTTCTCCAAAATCAGCATAATTGGGGCAAAGGTGAGAGTTTGGCCATCCATCTTTCTTAGCATTTTGCTTTATTTTTTTCAATTAGTTTAGAACCTGATCAGAGAAGAGGATCCTTACTCTTTCTCCCTATCCTACCACCTGCCACCTGTACAGCATTTCCAGAGCAGCCCTCATCAATGACCTCCCACCTCTGGAAGAACTCTCTGTAGAGCTGTGATCTATGCTGGCTCCACTAGTCCCTCAGCAGGAATATGCTCTAGTTGCCACAGTGAAAGCTTGCTTAATTACTTCTTGGGTGTTACCTGCACATAAATCTTAGTCTCAGAGTCTGATTTGGGAGTAACCCAAGCTAAGACTCAGATATAAGTCCCTGTGCTAGGCACTGTGGAGAAAGATAGAAAACATCGTTATTGTGCTTAAAACACATTGTCTTCTGGAAAATACTATCAGTATCTCCATACATAGCATGAATTTAGAAAGACAGCAAATTAAAGATTGATATCAGATTACAAGCGCCCTGGAATGCTAGGCTCAGGATTTGACATGTATTCCGTAAGCACTTGAATTTCTAGATATTTTGTAAGCAATGAAATGTTTCAGGAAGATCCATCAATGATGATATTCCTATGCTTAATATGGATGAGTATGGATTTCAGGGGACAGTCAGGAGCCCCCGGGGAGTGAAAAGACAGGTTAGAAGAGCATTATGATGGCCCAGCTATGACTTGCTAAGAGATAAAGCTGGAAGGAGAGCTGCCATGACTTGGTGTATTGCTGAACACATGGGGTGGGGTGAGTGGAGGCAGGATAGGGAGAAAGGGTAAGGATGATGGTAACTTTTCCCTGCTTGGACGGCTGAGAGAATGATGGAACTGCTGATGGAGCTGGGAAGCTGGTTGGGGCAGAGTTGGTTTGGGGTGGAAAAGGACCCACTCTGTTGTCTGTGGTGTTGTAACAAGGTGATTGCTTCCCAAGAAACTCCAGTGCTACAAAAAATGAAACCAAACCAAACCAGCATTATAAAGACAAAGGTTTCAGTGGGACAAGGGGAATGGGAACAGTGCTTACTTTCTGTGACGGTTAATATTGATTGTCAACTTGATTGGATTGAAGGATACAAAGTATTGATCCTGGGTGTGTCTGTGAGGGCATTGCCAAAGGAGATTAACATTTGAGTCAGTGGGCTGGGAAAGGCAGACCTGCCCTTAATCTGGGTGGGCATAATCTAATCAGCCGCCAGCTTGGCTAGAATATAAGCAGGCAGAAAAATGTGAAAAGAGAGACTGACCTAGCCTCCCAGGCTACATCTTTCTCCCATGCTGGATGCTTCCTGCCCTCAAACATTGGACTTCAAGTTCTTCAGTTTTGGAACTCGGACTGGCTCTCCTTTCTTCTCAGCCTGCATATGGCCTATTGTGGGATCTTGTGATCATGTGAGTTAATACTTACTAAACTTCCTTTTATATATATTTATATTCCATTAGTTCTGTCCCTCTAGAGAACCCTGACTAATATACTCTCACTTTAGTGAGCATCAGAATCACTCAAGGAATTAGATAAAAATGCAGATTCCTGGGACCTTGCCCAAGGGATTCCCACTCAAGAGGGTGGGGTGGAGCCCAGGAATCTGACTTTGTATCTTTTGAGACAGAGTTTCGCTCTTGTTACCCAGGCTGGAGTGCAATGGTGCAGTCTTGGCTCACGGCAACCTCCGCCTCCCAGGTTCAAGTGATTCTCCTGCCTCAGCCTCCCAAGTAGCTGGGATTACAGGCACCCGCCACCACGCCCAACTAATTTTTGTATTTTTAGTAGAGAAGGGGTTTCACCATGCTGGCCAGGCTGGTCTCAAATTCCTGACCTCAGGTGATCTGCCCGTCTCAGCCTCCCAAAGTGCTGGGATTACAGACGTGAGCCACCGCACCCGGGCTGACTTTGTGTCTTTCCATCAAATGATACTTTGCACCATTTTCCCTGGAGAATTGTGTGCAGTTGGTTGATAGGTACACATTTCATAAGGGATGGTTTCAGGGCTGGTGAGCCTGAGTTGTAGCAAAATCGTTTTTCCTGCAGAAATTATGTTATACAAAGGAAGGAGGATGCTTCCTACACCCGTCTGTGTATTTTATTACTAAAATGAAAAATATTAAACTGGCTGAATAAAGAGAAAAAATCTAAGCAGCACTGAGAACAGGGGAAAAATTTAAGAGTTGAAAAGATGAAAGGAAAAAAGATGACTAAGCAGATCATCCTAATGAGCACAGCTTACAATGGTGGACAGCAACCAAGAGAAGGTGACCACTGCCCCCTCGAACAGAGCCAGTGATGGCCCGATGCTGGCCTGCAACTGTTCACATAAACAAAATGTGTGTAAGATTTGTCATAAACTGCTATTATACATTTTACTTTATAAATTTAAAATAGAGCAAGGGCTGGTGACGAGGAATAAGTTCTAGTGTTCTACAGGTCTATAGGGTGAATATAATTACCACAATTTATTATATAATTTCCAAATAGCCAGAAGAGTGGATTTTGAATGTTTCCAACACAAAGAAATGATAAACATTTGAGGTGATGGATATGCTAATTACCTTGGTTGATCATTACACATTGTATACATACATGCATAGAAATATCACTCTGTATGCCATTAAGTATTTACAATTATTATGTGTCAATTAAAAATAATAAAAGCAAAAAATAAAATAATAAATACATAAAGGAAAGGAAAAAATAAAATAGAGCAAGGACTTCTGGAAATATCTCATGCAAATGTATGCAAATGAGCACACCAACATATGCAGAAAAGCAAAAGCAAGCGTGTCCTTTCCTCTTTTGCACAAACAAACCCTGTTATCTTATTTTAAAATGAGCTCTGCAACAAAGTCTATCAGAAACAACAGCACATACGTTATGTTTTTTTATGACATTAAAGAACAGGTGAAACTGAACTGTAATGATAGAAATCAGATTGGTGGTTGCCTGGTGGGGGAGGATTGACTGGTGAGGAGCACAGAAGGTTCTCTAGCTGATGGAAATGTTTCACATCTCCACCTGGAGGGTGGCTACAGGAAAAGCCTAGTACATGTTTTCCTGACTGGAAGCTGCCCTAGTTAACTCTCATGTGGCTTCTAGGTAGTAGCTGCCTGCCCTTTCTGCTTTCCCTTTGTGTTGGTGCCACATACTGTCATGTGGCATGCCTGTATCTGAAGCACATGTGGTATCTGGGGGCATGGCCCAGAGATGGGCCACTCAGCAGCCCCAGTCTTGCTCACATCTGGGGGAACAGAACTCAACTGGAGAAACAAGACCTCCTCTTGCCCTCCAAAGATTGGTGAGCATTCCTATCTGGAGCAATGTCAGCCTGTCAGAGCCTAAATGAGGAAAGAGACAGCCTGGCCCAGCCCCACCACTCACCCCACCCACCATCCTCACCTGTCAATGGCAATGGCCAGCAAGGCATTGGTGGAGACGTAGAGGGAGACGGTGCGCAGGTAGTTGACGGAGGCACAGAGCACGTGGCCATGCTCCCAGGAGAGCTGCCGTACCACGTAGTAGTCCATCTCGAAGGGGCAGCAGATGATGGCCACCAGGAAGTCGGAGATGGCCAGGTTGGCAATGAGCAGATTGGTGAGGTTGCGCAACTTCTTATAGCGGGTGAGGGCAGCGATAAAGACAAAGTTACCGATGCCGCAGACCAGCATGATGCCTGCCAGTGCAATGCCAATGACGATCTTGGCTGCGAAGAAGGTCCGGGTCTTGGTCATGTCCTCATCCTCATCCATAGGGAGGTCATAATCACCATAACTGAAGTTAAAGGAGAGGGAGGAGGCATGGTCTTGGGGTGGATTAAAGTTGGGTGTGAAACTGGTGTTTCCATTCTGGGCTGCCATGGTGATGTCTGCAAGAAAAGTGGTGTGAGGGAGGTGCGAGGGGTGAGGGTCCAGACCTTCTGCTCTTTCAGGGTCAGTGAGCCTAGCACCCTGCCCACATCCTTGGGGAGAGTTGACTCACCGTCCTGGATCCTGGAAGGAGGCACAACCAGTGGGCAACATGCAGGAGAACATCTGGTCACATTCCCTGAGTTCCCCAAGTATAGGCCAACCAGACCCACTGCCTAACCAGATGGAACTACCCGGGATGCGGGGAGAGGAGACCTGAGATCTGTAAGTTGGGAAACCCTCCGTGGCTGCCCAGCTGTCAGGAAGGACAGCATAGGATGGATCAGACTGTCCAGAACTCTCAAGAAGAATGTGCACCTTTGCCCTTTGCCCAGGGGCCAGGGCCTCTTTGTCTGCCCAGTCACATCCTCCAGCCCCCAACACATCAGCTCCCACAGGGGCTTCTGGAACATTTCCAAGGATGCTCCCATGAGCTGGCCAGGCTCCTACAGCTGTCACAACGTTGTGGCACCTGTTGGCCAGGGACAATGAAGCAGGAGGGCCAGGATGCTGCGGGGTCTTCTCTCCAAAGCAGGACACCACTCCTTCTGTACTGACCAAGCCATAGACTTGGAAATCACCAAGTTCACTTTCACATGGACAGACTGAGTCACCCTGGGCCAGTGATTTATGCTCTCTGAGTCCTAATCTTCCTGTAAACCAAATTCCTGCTGCCCAGTCCAGTGCCTGGTGCATAGTGGGGGCTAGACAGACATCTGTTGAGTGCATGACCAGGGCGCTGTAGGTGGAGGAGGTGGTGGTGGGGTGGGGGAGGGGAATTCCCCTGCTGCTCCCCGTTCTGTGGGAACCAGCTCCAGAAAGAAATCCTCTGCCGCCCTTCCCACCCTACTCCAACTTTGGATCTGCTCTCTGACCTCCTTCACTTGGCCCTAGTTCTCCACCCAGAGTCAACCCTGCCTGAAAGGCACCATGTCCTGTCACCAAGGTCTCAAAATAGGGAAAATAGTCTCTGAAGCCCTCAGCCCGCAGGAGATAGGGCACCCCAGGGTACAAGGCTTCACCGAGGGGCTGGAAAAAGAGCCCAGATCCCAACACCTATAGAAAGGGGCCCTGGCTGTCCAGCTGTGAGTGGCCTTCCCCTCGCCTCTCAGCACACCTGGAAACGACTCCACATGTGGGCGCCGCGGGATGCTGGGTAGCAAGGAGATGACCCAGCTGAACAATGCATTTGGTCCACTCCTGCGAGGGGAGGAGAACGCCGAGGGACAGGAACTGCGCGCCAGCAAAAGACACCCTAACCTGGGGTGCGCCCGCCAGCTGCTTTCCCAAGGTGAAAACCTCCAAGAGGCGAGATGCAAATCCCAGTGGCGTCCACACCCGGAGGTGTCTTCTCTCCAGGTCGCCCCTCCGTCTCATGCGACACCCCAATCCCCGCAGCCTCTGCTCAGCGTGGGACCAAGAATGGGGAGTCCTACCCCTCCTCGGCTTTCCAGCCCCCTAACCCAAGACAAGAGGGCGCGCGCCCGGGCTGGGACAGGTCCCAGCCGCATTTTCGTAGATTGCACTCCCCGCCCGGGAGCGACCCGTTCCAGCAGCCCCCTTCCCGCCCCATCAACGCGGCCGCACTGTCGGCGTCTAGAGGCGACATCCTGGCAAAGACAGGAATCAAGTCAGAAATTCAGGCTCTAGAAGCAAAGGCTGCGGTGCCTCCTGGCTGGAAGAAAACGGCGGGTGGGTGGAGGATGCGGTGCGCGGGAATTTCCCCACGGACGCTTGCTGTTTCCTGCTCACCTTTCAGGAAGGTGCCCCTCTACCTGCACCCTCCCCTGCAATTTGGAGCTCGTCCGCGAGCTCAGCTACCCGCTGGCTCCCTCTGCCCGCGCCCGCACACCACAGACTCCGCTTACCGTACCCTACCCGGTCCTAGAGGGCCCAGAGGGGATCTCCTGAAACCAACTCGCCTGCTTGGAGCCAGCCCCGACGCATATCTCGAGAGTGGCGGGAGGCAAAGCAGCCGGAATGCCCGAGAAAAAAGTGGGCGTCAGAGGCCCTTGTCCTAGCGACTCCCCCACCGCACCGACTGAGTCCCGGGACTGCAGGGATCTAAGCCCTTACCTGTCTCGGCGCCTCCTTTCTGTGCGCTCTGCTGCTCCGGAAGCCGGATCGAGAGTCACAGTGTGGTTGGGCGCAGGCGGGCCGCTCGGTTTTCACCTCGAGGACCCGGACTTGCACTTGCAGAGCCGCTGCGTGGGGGATGTCCCTCTTTTTTCCTCGCCCCGGCGGGCTCCTCCGGCGTGTCAGGGTCTCTGGGTTCCAGCTGGAGTTGGCGCTCCGGCCCCACAGCTCTTTCCAGCGTCTCGGACCTGTGCGCCCCGCCCCGCGCTGGACTCCGCCCCGGGGTCCCCGCCTGCCTCCTAGTCCAGGCCAAGGGTGGATGCCCAGCTCCCCCACCCCACCGCGTGCTCTCGGGCTGGTGCGTCCAGGGCGCGGGCACCGTAGCTCCGGCCGCGCTGACGCGAGTCCCCGGCAGCGGGGGCAGCCTCTCGCACGGATTTCAGCGCCTTCGCATCCCGTCTGAATCGGACCACACAGTAGCCGGGTTTCTACCGTGCGCTTGGGAACAGTGAGCACCGCCCTCTGCCGCCAGTCGTGGCACCGCACCCGGGTCGCGCGCGCAGGAGGGGAGAGTCCTGTCTTCCGGAGGTGCCCAGTGCCAGCGTCCGCGCCCACTAGAAGGTGACCCTTTCAAGGAAAGCCCGGCTCCGACGAGTGCGGTGTGGGCCTTTGGAGATGGCGGTGAAGGAGGAGGCCCCCAGGAGGAAGCTGGGGATGGGGACAGTTTGCTCTGCTCAAAGCCCCTGAAGTCCTCACCCAAACTTTGCGATGACCACCACTATCAGATTCCATGGCCGTATAAAGACAATCCCAGGAGTGCCTCAGCCCATCTGTCCGGAGAGTCTGGAGCCCTTCACTTTGCTTCTGACAGGTTCGAAATCCTCCCACGACCTTCCTGGTTAAACACAGGAACTGCCCATTCAAATGACTGGTGCCCAGGAAGCTCTGGGCATACAGGATTGAACCTGTGGCAGGACCCTGAAGGTCTAAAAAGGTGTTCCCCATCGTTAAACCCCAGCCAGCGGATTATTGGCAGGTGGGAACATGGACTCCACTTTGTCAGAGCTTCCCATTGTTTTCAAGAGAATCTGGAATTCGAGAACTTTAAAAATAGTCTTTGGGTTCGTTAAAGCAAAAATCTTGTTTTGGTCAAAGAGAACCTGTCTCAGACTGAACACAGTCCACAAGGCTGCCAATTAAAAATTTTTGGATAAATGAACTTCAAACTCCTTCAGGTTGTGACATTCTGTGATTCTGCTTTTCCCACCTTACCTGGAACCTGACCCCACTCTCCCTACCTCTTAGCATCTCTCCCGCATGATCAAAGGCAAGAGAGCCAGCTGTTTGCTTTCCTCCTGGGGAGGGGCTGCGATTGGGCAGGTGTTCTACATGCTCAGGGCAACTTCCAGATATGGAGGCAAAAAAGCTCTGTTGCTTGAGTGGGGGAGATGATGGGGTGGCCAGTTGTACGCCCTGGACACATTCTTTGCAATAGTGCATACTTACCAACTTCAGCTAGAGGCTTCTTCGCTCATGGACCATGCCTGCCCTATTCAATGGGGGCAAACAGACCCCTGGGACCATCTGCCCGCTGGTGCTTTCATGGAATCCTCTGAGATGAGTTAAGGCATGGTTGCTTCCACACAGATCTGGCGACCCACAGATGTCGCTGTAGTAACTCCAAGTCCTGACCACCCTCAGCAGAGTAGGAGCTTTTTCTGGGGATGGACATGTGGTCCCCAGGGAGACAGTGGGTGCTTAGAAAACAGTGCAACAGAGTGCTACGGGGAGTTGTCTTAGTTTAGGTTTCCCCCAAGGAGACTCCCAGACAAAGACCTGAGTGCAGGTAGTTTATTGGGAGCAGATCCCGGGAAGCACACACAGGGGGAGGGGAAGTGAGGCAGGGAAGGGAGAAGGGCCCATACACGATATGCTAACGAGCAGGGTGCCACTGCGGCTCACTCCAGTTGACCTGCAGACCGTGTAGAACATGCCTCATGGTTGTTCACAGCAGCGCGGGGAGGCTGGACATTCAGCCATCGATTCCTACCCCCTACTGATGGACAGATTCCCTGAGAGCCAGAATTTCCCTCACTTTTGAGTTGTGTCCCGGTGTGGTGCAGAAAGCCCAAGGCTGAAAAGAAGAGAGCTTCAGGCCTTGGATGGGAGGTGTCATGGTGCCTGGAACTGCATCTGCAGGTGAGCAGAGGAGATTCTGGGCAGGCCGTCACTCTCACATCTGCTACAGGAGGGCAGCAGAGGGGACATTGCCTTTGATGAGGCGGGCAGGAGCCATACTTCTGCTGGAGTTCATAGACTGAACTGGGTGTGAACCCAGAGAAACTGGGTGGGCTGAGTGGGATTTTGAGAGGGGCTGGAGACTTTGCATTATATACTTGGAGGCAACTTACATCCCCACTTGGGCTCACAAAGCTGGCAAGAACTGGGGAAATGGAGATGACTTCCCCTTCTAGTCAAAGAGATTTCTCTAATTGCAAGTCCAAAGTCTCTTCTTGTCTCTGAAAGAGTTTTCTGTCTGAAGTCTTTCTGGGTGAGGGAGGCTTAGCTGAACTACATGATAAAGTGCTGAGGGAGGGGAAAAGGGAAAGGGGAGGAAAGAAAATCCATGCAGGCAGGAGTTGCTGCAGAGCCTCAGGGGAGGCATTATCTACAAACAACTGGATGTGAGGAAAATGGATGAGGTAAGGATACTTTGATACAGAGCCAGAAGATTATATGTTTGAATCCACTCAAGAGACACGAATAATAAAAATTTAACAGGTATAATATTTCGACAACATTAAATCTGAATGTTTTTTGTTATTTCCCCCACGAATCCTATTCCATGGCAGCCACTCCACTAGTATAAATCCAGGAGATTGGAGTGGGTTAACACCGCCTCAGAATAACATCTCTCAAAGATACTCCCTAAAAGGGAGGGTTGAATTGTTGGGTCAGCCTGAGATTGCCAGATGGAACCACATTTAGGATCCCCTCTCCCACTGCACTACTCAGAATATGTGTCAGCGTGTGTATAAAGGGGACAGAGAACTCAGGGTGTGTCAGGTAAATTTGATTTTCAGGTAATTTCTTTTAAATTACTTTTACTATTTATTTATTTACTTATTTATTTTTTAGAGACAGGGTGTCAATCTGTCACCCAAGCTGGAGTGCAATAGAACAATCATAGCTCACTGCAGCCTCAAACTCTCAGGCTCAAGTGATCCTCCCACTTCAGGCTCCTGAGTAGCTGAGACTACAGTCTCGAGCCACTGCGCTTGACCCCAGATTTTTTTTTTATTTTTATTTTTACTTTTTGGGAACAGGGTCTCTCTCTGTCACCTAGGCTGGAGTGCCCTAGTGTGATTGTGGCTCACTGCATCCTGGACTTTCCAGACTCAAGCAGTCTTTCAGCTTTGGCCTCCCTAACAGTTGGAAATACAGGCGCCCAAAACCACGCCCAGCATTTTTTTTTTTAATTTTTAGAAAACAAAACAAAACAAAAACAAAAACAAGAAACGAAGTCTTGCCATGTTGCCCAGGCTGGTCTTGAACTCCTGGGCTCAAGCGATCTTCCTGCCTCAGCCTACCAAAATGCTGAGATTACAGGTGTGAATCACAGCACCTGGCCCCTAAATTACTTTTGACATTTGATTTATGTTTCTTGAAAGTGACTCCTTTCTAAGACAAAGCCACATGGATCTTCAGGTTTATAAAGGTTTTATATGTAAACTTTCTTAATTGTAAAGAAATGAATACAGATTCTCTGGAGCTTGATTTTCCAATACATATTAAAAAGCCTTGAGGCTAGGCAGAGTGGCTCATGCTTGTAATTCCAGCACTTTAGGAGGCCAAGGTGGAAAGATGGTTTGGGGCCAGGAGTTTGAGACCAGCCTGGGCAACCTAGTGAGACCCCGTTTCCACAAAATTTTTTTTTAAATTAGCTGGGCATGGTGGTAAATGCCTGTGGTCTCAACTACTTGGGAGGCAGAGGTGGAATCACTTGAGCCCAGAAGTTTGAGGCTGCAATGAGCTATGATCGTGTCACTGCACTCCAGCCTGGGCAACAGAGTAAGATCCTGTCTCAAAAAAAAAAAGGTCTTAAAAATATACCTCTCTTAATCTTTAATCCAGAAATTCTATTTTTATGACTTTATTCTATGGAGATAACGAATGAAGCAGGTAAAGATTTCTCTACAAGGATATTGATAGTAGTATTGTTTAGGATAACAAGAAATTGAAAACAACACTATTCTCAAGAAAATGACCTCAAGTGATTTTTGTGCGTGTCTGTGTGTCTCTCCAGGAGTAATTAATCAGCAAATCAAGAATGTGCCCTTGTTATTGACTGCAGATATATCGTTAGGTAAACTTTTTAACTTTGAAAGTAAATGTAATTAAACTCTACGAATCCTAGGTGGAAAAGGAGAAGCTTAATTAATGGTTCAAGGTGCATTGACCCTGGCACTACCTTTCCTTCCATCCAGCTGGCTTTCATGGGGTTCTGCAGAGTGACTCTGTAGGATACACCTGCTGACTCACCTGGCCCAGGTATTTTTCCCTCTTCGGCTTCCATCTGCCTCTAGGGGAGGAAGGTGATAGTCAAGACTGAGACAAGGTATCAGGGTCAGTGCCCGCCAGCCATGCTCCCTGTCTATGGAGAAAGACCCAAGAAAAAGGTAAGCTTACATGAAAGCTAGAGAGCTTTTGGTCAGAAATTTGTAATTGCTGTTAAAACTGTTTCAGGAAGTTTTCCGAGCCCTCAGAGAGAGGCGGTGGTGGGAGGAAGGTGGGTTGAGAGAGCAAAGTTCTTGCAAGAAGCAGCTCCTCGATGCATTCAAAACTGGATTCTATGATGGCGAGTTTGGTTAATGAAATCCCTTCGTGGAAACGACCTTGTTCACTGGCAGGGCAGATGAAGGACAGGACGGTGCTTTAACTAATAAGAAAGACTGAGGCTTCCAAGTTCAGATCCATGTTTGGTAGATTATAGAAAGGGTTTGGTTTTTTTGTTTGTTTTTTGTTTTCTTTTTTGAGATGGAGTCTCGCTCTGTCGTCCAGGCTGGAGTGCAGTGCTGTGATCTCGGCTCACTGCAAACTCCGCCTCCAGGTTCACGCCATTCTCCTGCCTCTCAGCCTTCCGAGTAGCTGGGACTACAGGCGCCTACCACCACGCCCGGCTAATTTTTTGTATTTTTAGTAGAGATGGGGTTTCACCGTGTTAGCCAGGATGGTCTCGATCTCCTGACCTTGTGATTCGCCTGCCGCAGCCTCCTAAAGTGCTGGGATTACAGGTGTGAGCCACCGCGCCCGGCCAGAAAGGGTTTAGTTTTATAAGGAGGCACTTGGGTGTCAGTTTATGTTAAGCCTCATCTTCTCTGGCTTGTCCTCTTCCAGCTGAAGCCCCTCTCTCCAGGTGTTCACATGCTGTCTTGCCCTGAGCTCAGGAAAGGATGAGAACCCCCTCCTTCGCCTGAGGTCAGGGGCAGGGGCGTTTGGGAACACTCAGGTGGGAAAAATTCACATAGTGTAGACATTTGGAAAGTAAAAAGTCAAACTCTTTGCCCGCTTTCCACAATGCAGCCCCTGAGAGGTGACCCAGTTACCTGGACTTTACTACATAAGTTCCAACGCAAACAAAACGGGCTTTGGGTATGCTTGGGCTCATTATGGGAGGAGTCAGGAGAGAGAGAAAGCCATTTTCACTATGAGCAACATAGAGCTCTGAGTTAATTAACTTGAATATTTTGAAAAACGTGACTTTGGCTTGTGCCCTGAGGTGTCTTGGGTTGGATTTCCCTAAAAGCAGATCTTGAGACAAAGATTTGAGTGATGATGTTTATTGTTGTGGGGCGGGGAGTAGGGTTAGGGTTTACATCCTGAGTCTAGAGTCACGAGTTGGGGCAATTCACCCCACGCATGATGGGTGCGTGCTGCAAAGTGACCTGCAAAGGGCATGGATGTGGGGAGAGGTGAAGAATGGGTCCAAATGATGCAATCCCCCCACTTAGCTCCCCCGTCTTGGATCCCAGAGCTGCCTGCCTTGCTCCTTCAGCATTGCTTTGATTCTGTGAGCCACCTTATTGCTTCAGTAATTTCTCTTTTTAACTTCATTTGCTCAGAGCTGAATTCTGTTGCTTACTATCAAGGAATCCTAACAGATTCAGATTCAGACAGGTTAAGTTTTAAATGTCACACAGCTAGCTGGTGGGTGGCAGAGTTGGGATTCAAACCAGACTCCAAAATCTAGGCTTCTTCTACTGCACTGACTTGAATGAAATCTTCCTGCCTCAGGAGGAGTGTGGTATTGAAGTAAGAACTGGAAAAAAATGGGAGAGGAATGAATAAGCTTCCCAAGACCCACACTTGCCCCTGGGGCCAAGGGCATTCCAGCCCAGATGGCCTGGTATTGACAGACTGTAATGGCGGCTCTCAAACTGGTGTGTGTTTTGAGACCTTTTTCAAAATACACATGCATTGGCCCCATGCCGGGAGATTCTTATTCCACTTATCAATAACACTTTCTTGGCTTCTTTGAGTATTCATTCTTTACCAAGTTTCCTATCAAAAAGAAAAAAAAGGAAAACTAAAAACACTCTGATGGAAATCATTGACTAGAAGAAATGGGCCTTAATGAATCCTGCCTAGAAACAGCAGAACATCTTCCCAACAGAGGGGCATTTTGTTTTCTCTCTTGTAATATTGTGTATCAGCCAAGATTGTGTGACTGCTTTTCTTTCATTTTAAAAGTAAAACATTCGGTTTTGGGGCTTTTCTCCTACATTTAATTCAGTTTGTACATTTTTTGAAGCTCTACCAGTTGAAAACATCACTAAAAACACACACAAGCTGGGAAGAGAAAGTTAAAAGCAGTGACAAGTTCATCATGCTGTTTTTGAGGACCAGCTCTGTGTAACACACGTGGCTTGCAAGACTTTGAAAAGTGAAGGCTGGGGTGTAGCTGATCTGGGGCAAGGATGGGGAGATGAGAGATGCCAGGTTATCCAAAGGCGTAGCTTGTTCAGGGAACTGGGAGTAGATTTTGAGAAACTACATGCCCAATAAATGGCCTGAATCACACACATGCAAGTCTTTTAAAACAGAAGGTATCTAGCATTTAAGTTCAGAAATCCTTTGGTAGGGATGAGAGCTGGGAGGTGCTGGGGTGGCTTGCAGCCTCAGGAGTTCACATTGTGCAGCTGGTGGCACATTTTTGGCCTCTGTATCATTTGAGTTTGAACTGGGAATAAAGCCTATAGCTCCAAAACCTTACTGTTCCCATCGCAGACATCCTCAGTGGAAGAGATAAAAGATATCCCTAGACAAAGGCATCCAGGGCCATGGGACATTGGTGCTGTGCTATCCTTTGAGGGAAATGGTAAATGAGAGTTGGGGAGAGGGTGTGTGAACCAGAATTGCACACCTGCTTCCAGCCACATCTTATGATACATGCACCCGCTTCACCACACAACACCATCCGTGACCCAAGGGGACTCTTTAGGAGGGAGGATGAGGATATGTTATGGGTAGGACCAGCGGGGGCCACTGGGTTTCTGTACAGCAAAAGCAGGACTGGGGACAGAAGGAGGCCCCACACAGGCAAACGTCTTTTTTAACTTGTAGGTTCAGGGGTACATGTGCAGGTTTGTTATATAGCTAAACTGCATGTCACGCGGGTTTGGTGTAAAGATAATTTTGTAATATGCATAAGTATCCGATAGGTGTCTTTTCTGAGCCTCTCCCTCCTCCCACCCTCTATCCTCAGGTAGGCCCCAGTATCTGCTGTTCCCCTCCTAGTATCCATGTGTTCTCATTGTTTAGCTCTCACTGATAAGTGACAACACATGGTATTTGGTTTTCTGTTCCTGTGTTAGTTTGCTTAGGATAGTGGCCTCCAGCTCTATCCATGTCCCTGCAAAGGGCATGATCTCATTCTTTTTTATGGCTGCATAGTACCCCATGGTGTATATGTACCACATTTTCTTTATCTAGTCTGACATTAATGAGCATTTAGGTTGATTCCACAGACATACATTTTTATTTGCTGAGCCCCAGCCTCGTAACGGAGAGACCCAGCTAGAGATGAGGGTGGAGTGAAAGGAGGGGAAAATGTAGATGAGAGATGGCTGAGGTGAAACTTTATAAATAACCATGTTATAAAACCTCAAAAGGTAGGAAGTGAAGAAGTGAGCCCTCCACTGACATTGTCCACGTTGGATTGCCCCACGAGATTGCCCCTTCTTCTGGTTCTATTCCATGCTACCACCTCCTCAATGTTTGTTTGTTTGTTTGTTTGGACGGAGTCTCGCTCTGTCGCCCAGGCTGGAGTGCAGTGGCACGATCTCGGCTCACTGCAAGCTCCGTCTCCCGGGTTCACACCATTCTCCTGCCTCAGCCTCCCGAGTAGCTGGGACTACAGGCGCCCGCCACCACGCCCGGCTAATTTTTTGTACATTTAGTAGAGACGGGGTTTCACCGTGTTAGCCAGGATGGTCTCAATCTTCTTACTTCGTGATCCACCCGCCTCGGCCTCCCAAAGTGCTGGGATTACAGGCGTGAGCCACCGCGCCCGGCCTGTTTGTTAGTTTTTTGGTTTTTTTTTTAAACAGCAAAAGCCCTCCCTGATATTCACTGTTTTCCCCATGGCACGTTCATTCCCACAGAATGCTCTTGGCATCATGACGTGCAAAGCTAGAGTTTAGACTGCAACTTCCTTGTTATTTAATGCCAACTAACTAAATCTGAGTCTCTGGATATTGAATTTCAGAGAGTTCTGAAGTCAGCATCTCCCCATTTACTTCTGTGCACCTTCCCAGGCTAGTTAATATCACAACCTTTCTGAGGCCTGTCTGGTGGGTTCAAGTTTTACAGGCTGGGGGCTGACTTCTATTTTATGTCTTGAGGTAGTGATTGTTGCTATTTTTCTTAAAGCAGACAGGAACAGCTCTTGAAAGGGACATTGTGCACATGTACCCTAAAACTTAAAGTATAATAATAATAAAATAAAAAAATAAAGAAAGGAACAGCTATTAATTCCACGTTTTCCTTTGCAGGCAGCACTTTAACACTCTAAGGGGGATAATTTGGCAATTGGATTGGTTTAGACAAAAGTCTGGCAACTCCCAGAACTAAATGATAGAGTCTGTCATCTGTGCCTGATGGTCGCTCAAATAGGCTACTGTAGTTATTATTTTTCCCCCTAAGCTCTTTTAGCCTCACCTTAAAAACTGTTACTAATGAAAATGGCACATCAAGGCAGGCAGGCTCTCCAAGAAGGCAATTCTTGTAACAGAAAGGTGGTTAAAATCTAGATACTCAGACAAGTGAAAAATACCTTGGAATGAGAAACTGCAATGTGTTAGCAGTGATTGCTTCTAGGTGGTGGAGTTATGGAGGAATTTTTAATGTTCCTGTTTTTAAACTGATGCACAGAAGTCATGAATTACTTGTGTAACAAAGATTGCATACATAAAAAACAAAAACAAAAGTTAGATATGTGAGACCTTGTAAACAACGCATTTCATTTTGACACATTCAGTGCCTTTGAAAATTTAACTGGGGAATGATCAAACCCCAGGTAGTTTGGAACAAATATTTTCTAATAGCCAAACAACTGGTTAAGAGCCATCTTGTCAAATGGTTAACCGGTGTAAAGTCTCCTTGAAGAAACAGCTGAGTATACTGGTGAACCCTCCATAAGTCAGGGGGCCCCATCAGTGGGGTTATACTGACCAGGCATAGGATGCAGGCAGTCCATCTCAAAGATGCCCGGGAAGTAGCTTTTCACAAAGCCTTTGCCTCAAGGAAGCATCCTTCTTTGCAACCACCAGAAATGCACTTAAATCCAAGCTGGGGAGAGGAATCTGGGGTAGATAGCTGTGGTGTGTGTCACAGAACCCAAGTCAGGACTCTTGGGGACCCAGAATCACAGCTTGAGGGTCATCCTAGCTGCTTGTGTCTCCCCTCTCTGGGGGCTCTGCCTGGTTCTCTACATCTTAATTTTGTGTCTGCTCCGTCCTTCTCTTTCCCTGTGCCAGACCCAATTTGGACAGACTTCCTAGTTTTAAAGCCCAGGAATCTGACATGCCTAAGAGAGAGAGAGAATTTAACTGACCCAGCTGGGTCAAGCATTTACCCGGGTAGCCAGTAGCCCACAGGGTGCATTTGTGTTACTTGAAAAGGGCACCCTTTCACCAGGCAGATGCAGCCCTGAGCCAGTGCTCACAACCTAGGCTTCTCTTGCACCTACCCACTCCTCTCCTTGTGCAGAGCACAACCCAGGCAACAGCCCATGACAACGCTTGTCCATTGTCGATCCAATTAGCTGTGGCTAATTGGGGTAGAGGCTGGCAGATTCACATAGTGTCTTCTATGCAGGTGGGTGGGGAGGGCAGCACTTCTCTCCTCCATTCCCGTGAACAGAAACAGCTCTAGAACTTTCCCCCCTACCCTTCTCAGGCAGAGCATGCTACTGTGGGGCTGGAGGTATTCTGTCCTGGCATATTCCATTAAGAAACTGCAAACCTTTTTTGTAAGTGTGGAGGATATGATTGAATAGAATCATAGATAAATGTGTTACTATGTATAGCTAAAGGAAAAAACAGAGCTCGTGTGGGCTCAATCTGTACCATCAAATAAATGAGTGAAATCAAAGGTAATTTTTTGGGACTTACCATTGAAAAACAAGTGGTTTATTATAGGAAGGAATAGACATTCTTCTTTGAGAAATTTCATTTCAGAAACTTGAAACACCTAGGAAGGCACAGGGTCCTGTCTGCCAGGAGAGGGGCAGGGGTAGGTGGAGGCATGTCTAGATGGCTTCTCCAGCCCCCACTCCCTACCCTGAATGAGGATATCCAGCTCAGAGAAAGACTATTTGTCTTTGAACTCTGTTAGAAGCCCTTCCCTATAAAGTGGCACATGGCTTTCTGAAATCTGTTTGTAATTTTCAGCCTTGTTCCCATATCAGACATAAAAACCCATCTGCATTTTTCCAGAAATCCGCTGGTGTCCTCTGCATCACCCAGGCCTCACTTCCCCCTCCTGTGCTTGATGAGACTCCAGGCTGTGTCAAGGGCCCCTGATTCTCTTTTCGTCTCTCCCTGCAAGAGCAGGCTTGCCTGATGGGTCATTATTCACTTTAAAACTAGGAAGACTGGCCAAGCTGGGTTTGAGGCAGGGAAAGAGAAGGATGGAGCAGAAACACAATGACCAGTGACTGGGCTTCTTTTCTCCGCTGTTCTGGTGACATGGAACTTCCATTGCCACTGACTGCCCTTCCCTCCTCTCCTCACCATTCCTTTAGACCCAATATTGCTGGGCACGTATTTCAAAATGTCATCCTATTAGCCTTTGTGAAATGACAAGGCATTTTCTCTTCTTATAGTTGGAGGTCAACATACTTATAATTGACCTTAGACTATTTTTTGAGATATTATGGATGCTCCTAGGTTTTCTATTTCAGATTGTATTGTGTGTTTACTGCTACAAAAATAACTAACTTGATTCAGTTTAAGGCTCACCTCTGGGCTGGATAGGACACTCCTGGCAGGGAATATCTATAGTCACACTAGCAACTTGGGCGAAATTGGTCGAATCAATCTTATTTGGAGCAAAGCGTCTGCAAAGGTTCGAAATTTCTTCTAACTTCCCACCCTAGTGTGTTATTTTCTTTCTCAGAGAATATCGGGCTATACGTCATGTCTTACACTGTAGGTGTGATGTGACTTAGGCATCTAACTATTCAGTGGTGCCTTGGAAGGTTGTAAAAGTCTAGAGAGAAAAATAGTTTGGCCTATTTTAGAGATGTTTGGTTTTAAAAGCTGTGGAGAATTTGTAGGAGCCAGGTTGTAAAATGCAGATGAAATCCCTGAGCAACAAAAGACACTTATGGGAAAGTCACAATGTAGACGCAATGACTTTCGTACACACAGTTTAGGAGTTTTTTCGTTGAGCCATAAAATTGTTGGGATGTAGAGTCCAAGGAACTCAGAATAGCAAGCCAAGAATAACATTCATGAAGAGATTTAAAAATGCTTTTTGCCAGGCAGGAAGTGATGGAATAGAGAATCCTCAGACTGGAGAGAGTTATTGAGAAAATGGTTCAGTCATTTAATCTTCTAATTACACAGTTGGAAATCTTCTGGAGTGTTTTGGTAAGTGTCCAGAGTTTAGGAGGCACGCTGGCAGAGAAAAAATAATCTAATGAAGCATTATTGAACAATTGTGAAGGTTGGTCATCAGAGCACTCATTTTATATTACCCTCACTAGGACGTGAAATTGCTGTGAGTAGAAACTGGAGATGAGTGAACATGTCTTCTTATGCTTCTCTATTCTTATTTCTCTCAATTACTCAGGCTGCAAAATGACTTACATCTTACACCTGAAAACACGCTTACAAACAGGCACGCTTGGTGGCTCTGGTTCTCTGCCTTAGCTGTACATTGCAGTCACCCAGGGAGCAGTGAAAGAAACACTGATATCTGGAGCGTAATCCCAGGGATTCTGACTTAATTGGTCTGGAGTGTGGCCTGGATTTGGGGATTTTTAAAAGCTTCTCCAAATGATTCTAATATGGAGCAAAATTTGAGTTCTCCTATTATGAGATTTTCTTACAACTTTTTTCAACAAATGTGTTTGAGGTTGGCTTGATTGGTCTTCATTGAAACCTGGTGTTTCTTTTTTTCTTTTCTTTTCTTTTTGGAGACAGTCTTGCTGTCTCAGGCTGGAGTGCAGTGATGTGATCTCAGCTCACTGCACCCTCCATCTTCCAGGTTCAAGTGATTCTCGTGCCTCAGCCTCCTGAGTAGCTGGGATGACAGGTGTGTGCTACCACGCCCAGCTAATTTTTTGTATTTTTAGTGGATATGGGGTTTCACCATGTTGGCCAGGCTGGTCTCGAACTCCTGACCTCAAGTGATCCACCCACCTCAGCCTCCCAAAGTGCTGGGATTACAGGCATGAGCCACTGCGCCTGGCCGAAACCTGGTGTTTCTACTGAACAGTGTGTCTATGTTAACCCAACTAAAGAAGATTTAGAAGTTCCAATGTATCTTTCAGCTGCACATATGCCTCTTGTATGAAAATAAGTATGTATATAGAAATTCACAAGATGTTGATTTTAAGTTTGATATGTTAACTGAAAAATCACAAGGTGGTCTTAAATTTGGAGAGGAGACTTTATTTCTTATAAAGGGTTACAGCCTGCAGGGTGGCCATTCTGACAGGCTGGGAAGCACAGCCTCCAGCAGAAAGCAAAGGCGGGCAATTCATGGGAGGGAAAGAAAGATGAGAAAGAAATTTATGCTGAATGGGCTGGCCAAGTATACACATTCAACAGGTTATAGGAGGCACTATGGATATACACGAAGGTGGTCGTAACTCATGCATGATAAGCAAACATATGTGTTACATGCATCCCATGTTCACTTTGAGGTGGAGACTTAACATATAAGTGCATTATAATTAGGCACTATCCATCAAAGGGTGAAACAGAGGCATGAAGGCACTCACGTGTGCAGCCTCTGTAAACCGGCCAGAACCAGTCCGTAGTCAGTGGTCTCTTGCAGGGCGAGGTTACTGAAACCAGTCTCTTGTCTCATCAAAGCTGTAGTTATGGCTTGTGGAATAGGGGGTTAGTTAGTCAGCGTCTGGTGGTGGATGAGCTGCAAATTGTTTTAATATTGCTTATCTCAAGGCCAGTGATCGTTTAGCTGCTAGAGAAAAAGAAAAACCTCGTGGCAGTTAGAAATTGCTTATTCTTTAAGTGTAGGGAGAGGTCCATGATGTAACCTTTGCCTGGCATGGCCTCAGGTCTTCTTAATAATTTGTATCTTATTGCCACAAAAAGTCCATTCTGTCAGTTTCATGATACCTATTTGAATATTAATGCTGGTCAATTGTTGTTTCCAAACCACAAAAGGGAGGGAATAGAATGAGGAGTGACTGACTTCCCATCCCATCACAGCTGGGAACTCAGGTTTTAAGGTTTCTTTGGGGTTCCCTTGGCCAAAAGGGGTCCATTTAGTTGGTTGGGGGGGCTTTAGATTTTATTTTTGTTTCTTATTTCCCCCTTTTGGCTGAGATTTTTCAGAAGCAGATTGATTGCCAAACTTTTATTTTTGTTCCATATCATTGCCCGGATGGTGTGGCCACCTGCTCTGAATCCATCCATTCTGTTGGTGGGACCCCTATGTTCAAAAGACTTACAGCCAAAGATGTACAGCCAATTCACATTCCAGGCCATATGGGAATAGAGGTGAGCAGGCACTTATTAAAATTTTTAAATTTTAAACCCTTAAATTTTCTAAGCAGCGTAAGAGCCGAAAACTAAAAGTCAAAAAAGCAAACTTATAAAATTAACTTATCTATAAGTTTTATTCATCGAGCCAGACTTGTAGCAATTAGCTTTATAAAACAGAAGCATTTTGTTAAAACCATTTGAGCTAAGGAATTTAGAGATTTTTTGTTGTGCCGTAATGCCTTCTGTGATCTTTTTAGTAATTTGTTCTAAGTGACTGATAAAATTTTTTTTATCATATCTCTATTTGTATAAACCCCATAACCAGGAACACCTACACCAGTAGGCTTTGTCACCAGGTATCTCAATGTCGTCTTGGTAACTCTTCTTTAAGTCTATGGGAAGCAGGAAATTCTTTATGGTCAGGATGGATGGAAAGAGGCCACATAGTGGCCCAGGAGGCAAAGTCCTTCAATTTGTCAGCTATTTAGGCGTCGGTGTGCCTGTTTTTGATTTGGAGGGTCTGAACTAATTTTACCCCTCAAAACTGGAGTCTCATGTGTCCATCTCTTTCATGATAGTCCCTGGGCCTAGAGGGAGGGTACTTGGTATTGTATAGCATTAATAGCAGTGTGTTGGCAATGGATAACATATTGGGTCCAGCGTGATTGAATAGTTTTCAAATTTTGGAGACAGGTAGAGAGACAAAAGTAAACTTTGTTACTTTATCTACTTGCTGTAAGCCAGTGGTCTCCCACCTTTTTGGTACCAGGGACTGATTTCATGGAAGACAATTTTTCCACGGGCAGTGGGGTGGGGAGGATGGTTTGGGGATGAAACTGTTCCACCTCAGATCATCAGGCAGGCATTAGGTGCTCATAAGGAGCATGTAACCTAGATCCCTGGCATGCACAGTTCACAATAGGGTTGACACTCCTGTAAGAATCTAGGCTGGGCTGATCTGACAGGAGGCAAAGCTCAGGTGGTAATGCTCGCTTGCTGGCTATGCAGCCCGGTTCATAACAGACCACAGACTGGTATCAGTTGGTGGCCTAAGGCTTGGGGATCCTTGCTGTAAGCTCTGTTTAGCTCAAAAGAAAAAAGGTGTTTTTTTAAAAAAAAATTATTATTTTCTTAGAGATGGGGTCTTGCTATGTTGCCCAGGCTAGTCTCGAACTCCTGGGCTCAGGTGGTCATCCTGTCTCAGCCTCCCAGGGTACTGGGATTACAGGTGTTAGCCACTGCACCTGGCTAAAAAAGGTTTTCTTGACTCTGGGAAACAAAACATAAAGAATCAGCAACATTTCCAACAAAAAGTTATAAGCTTTGTCTAGTTTTGACAGTGACAAGAAAAGGAAGCTCACAGCTAGCTAAGCATTTGAATTATGTAACATCAAAACATAGAACAAATTGTAATAATTTAGAAAGAGGCAAAATTATTAAATAAGTCTTAATATCTTTGAATCCAGGCCTGGCCCCGTGTCTCATAACAGCAGTTCATTTTGATTGTTGCCTTCTTCCGAGTCTGAAGATGAGGTTTTGGTTCACTTGAGTTTGGTGTCAGATACCGGTATTAATATTTGAGATTAGGTAGGAGTCAGTACACTTTCAGATAAGATATGTGTACCCAGGAGTCGACTCCCTGTAACTTAGCAGCACTAGGATTAGTTAATAGCACCTGGTGAGGATCCTTTTGGTGGTACTGGAGGGAGTGCTTTAACTGATGTCTCTTACAGTATATGTAGTCATCGGGCTGGAGGTGGTGATACTGGAGTTCATGACCTGACTAGAAACTGAAAAAAGGTTCTAAACGTTTTCAGCTCCCAGCAATAAGTGTAAGTTAGAGACTTAATTTAGGATTTAATTTTGAGGACATTTGTCAAAGATGTTAAAAGCCTCAAAACATTTCATCAAAACAGAATCACAGGTCATTGTAAAATAATAGTTATTCATTTAACCAAGAATGATAATCAAAAGACCTCAAAGACAATACAGAAAACTACATGGATGTAAACCTTAGCCTTTTTAAAGCTTAGTTTTCCTAAGCAACAAAAAACCTGATAAAGGCAACACAGGATTGGGCATGGTGGCTCATGCCTATAATCCCAACACTCTGGGGTGCTGAGGCAGGAGGATCCCCTGAGCCCAGGAGTTCAAGGCTACAGTGAGCTGTAACTGTGCCACTGTACTCCAGCCTGGGTGACGGAGCATGACTCTGTCTTAAAAAACAGAAAGACTAAATAGGAACTTATCTTAATAAAATGTAAAATATTTTGTCATTGCTGTATCTCGTGGCCAATCCACTCATCTGAACTTTCTGCTGATTGAATTGTGCTGAATGGAAAAGACAAACTTTTTGGTAACACCTTGAAATTCACTTTTAGAAGCCTTGATCAGATCTAATTCTAAATCCATTTTCTTCTGCAAATTTCAAATCTTCAAATATATACTTATAAAGTACTTCACTTTTCCCAGTCCTTAATATATAAACAAGCAAACAAGTTCTAGAGTTATTGAATCCAAAAGAGCATGAATTGTATACAGTTGATAAAAAAAAACAGTGAGGAGAGTTTTGAAAGTGCCATTCATTCACCAAAATGAACTATGTGCTAGTTTTTCTATGTTACATTTAGTGGTAAATATAAGAAGTCTAGATTCTTCAACAGTCAAATCCCTAATCAAGAATAGATTACCATTTAACATGTTAACTCTGGAGGAACCGCAATATCAGGAAGTGTCTTTGGTTCAGAAGGTCACTGAGCTTGTTGAATTCTTTTTCATTTTCTGATGAAGGGCATTTTTTAAAAAGGCTATGCGTGAAGGGGCAGAAATCATACATGATTAAATAATTTGGCAGGGGAGATTTCTTATATTTTTCGCCTGTATTTTCACTTCTATGATCAAGTTGGCACCCAAAATTAATTCCAAAAATCCATCCCTTGCAAATTGGCACCCATATGTATCTTCTTAAACCACACTTAATTTCCAAATGAAAACAATAGTAGGGTAATAGTTTCATCTAAGATGGTGCAACTATCCCATGATTGTGATTTTTTGGGATTTTAGACGTTAAGGATTTTAGACTTTAGGGATTAAGATTTTAGGAACTTTGATATTGCAGCATTTTAACATTTGGGATTATGACATTTGGGATTGTGTTTTTTGGGGATTATGATCCAAACACCACTGGGCATGTAGTCTCATCCTTGAGCAGGCTAGCCTGGGTTCACTCACGTGGTGGTCTTAAGGTTTCAAGAGCAGCAAGAAGGCAGCCCCAATGTACGAGCACTTCTTCAGTCTCCGCTTGCATCCTTTGATATTGTCCCATCCGCCAAAGCGAGCCATATGGCCAAGTTCAGGGTCCATGTTAGAACGCACTGCCAAAGAACGAGGGGTACTGGAGGCCTAAACAAATTAGATTCGTTATTGCAAACAGCCTGCCAAGGGGGTCTGCCACCTTGATGCCACCAATTCTCCCAGCTTCTGCATTACCTTTTATTTTAATATGAGAATAGAATGGCTCAAGCCTTCATCTCATAAACTCTGGGTATCCCTTTATTCCCCTTCCTGGTATCTCCAAAGGTCCATGGTGTGTGTGTGTGTGTGTGTGTGTGTGTGTGTGTGTGTGGTGTGTAAAGGAAGTGATGCAGGATAGGGGGCACTTCTTTTTATTTTTATTTTTAATATTTTAAGTTCCAGATTCATGTGCAGGACATGCAGGTTTGTTACACAGGTTAACATGTGCCATGGTGATTTGCTGCACCTATCAACCCATCACCTAGGTATTAAGCCCCACATGCATTAGCTATTTATCCTGATGTTCTCCCTCCCGCCACACCCCCCACAGGCCCCAGTGTGTGTTGTTCCCCTCCCTGTGTCCATGTGTTCTCATTGTTCAGCTCCCACTTATAAGTGAGAACATGTGGTGTTTGGTTTTCTGTTCCTGCGTTAGTTTGCTGAGGATAATGGTTTTCGACTCCATCTATGTCCCTGCAAAGGACATGATCTCATTCCTTTTTATGGATGCATAGTATTCCATGGTGTATATGTACCACATTTTCTTTATCCAGTCTATAATTGGGCATTTGGGTTGATTCTGTGTCTTTGCTATTGTAAATAGTGCTGCAATGAACATATGTGTGCATATATCTTTATTTATAATAGAATGGTTTATATTCCTCTGGGTGTATAACCAGTAATGGGATTGCTGGGTCAAATGGTATTTCCGGTACTAGGTCTTTGAGGAATCACCATACTGTCTTCTACAATGGTTGAACTGATTTACATTCCCACCTACAGTGTAAAAGCATTCCTATTTCTCCACAACCTCGCCAGCATCTGTTGTTTCTTGACTTTTTAATAATCACCGTTCTGACTGGCATAAGATGATATCTCATTGTGGTTTTGATTTGCATTTCTCTAATGATCAGTGATGTTGAGCTTTTTTAAAAATATGTTTGTTGGCCGCATGTATGTCTTCTTTTGAGAAGTGTCTGTTTATATCCTTTGCCTACTTTTTAATGGGGTTCTTTGCTTTTCTCTTGTAAATTTTTTTAAGTTCCTTGTAGATTCTGGATATTAGACCTTTGTCAGGTGGATAGATTGCAAAGTTTCTCCTATTCTGTAGAATGTCTGTTTACTCCGATGATCTTTTCTTTTGCTGGAACACTTATTTTTCTCCTCAATATTCTTGCATTAATTTTCTTCTTTCACAGAATTGTCAATGAATCATGGGTTTCACTCCACCACCAGTAATTGCTCTTCTCCTTCCAGGCTTCAGCCTTGAAGTATCAGCCCTCAGATTACTTGCTAATTATAAAGGAGGAAAGGTAGCTTTATATGGGTGTTATCTAGAGGCCATCGCTTTAGCTGAGGGGTCAAACTTTGCATTCCCAAGGCTGTGGAACATGGCATCATGTGGCCTCTGATGTAATGCACTGAGAAGGGTACAATTGCAGGTCCTGCCAAAAACACATACACTGAATCTTGTCATGAGGAAAAAGCCACACAAATACAGTTGAGTACATTATGCAAAAACTGGTTTGGACCCTTCAAAATGCCCATATGATGAAAGACAAAAATTAATAGAGAACTATTCTAGATGGAAGAACTATTCTAGATTAAAAAGACATGATGAAAATCAGATAAAATATGTGAGTGGATTCTGGATTTAAAAAGAAACTTTAAGGATATTGTTGGGAATATCTGGGTAAAATTTAAATATAAACCGTATATTCAATATTGTTAAATTGATATTAATTTTCTAAGGTGTACTAATGATATTGTGGTTGTGTAGGACAGTGCCATTTGAAGATACATACTTAAATATTTAAAAGTTAACTGTCATGATGTCTGCAATTTACATTCAATGAGTTTCAGCATGAAAAACAAGTCAATATGACAAAATGAAAGTGATTGGTGAGTCTAGGTAAATGGTATATGGGTGTTCATTATACTATTCTTTTAATTCTAATGGTTTAACATTCTAAGATAAAACTGGGGAAAATATTTTGGATATTTGCACTAAGGCTTAAATGATAGACTTTCATTATTGATCAGGGTCTGAGTTTTCTGAGTTTGCCTTTAGGCAAAACAACAACAACAACAACAAACAAGAACAAGAGCAAACACCTCAGAGTTTTCCTCTGAGGAAGTGAAGAAGTATCACATGTCAGGATGTCTTTGTGCACAACTCTCCTAGGAGGCTGGGGAAAGGCCACCCCCAAAAGACTTGCTCCATCCCTCCCAGGGGCATCTTTCTGTTTAAAGTCAGGACTTCTCTGCCGTGTGCAGACCACTACGCCTGAGCTCATTTTGGGTTTTGAGTTTTACCTCAGAAGCTGTTCTGTGCTTCCTTCTATTGCCCTTTCTGGGAATGTCTTGGGGTCATGTTGCTTTGGTGCTTTGTGCCATCCTCCATGAAACCACAGGGAACACAGGAACTGTCATTATCTCTCCTCAATCCCTCTGCTTCTCAAACCACTCATCCTAGAGTCAGTATCCAACAGGAAGTGGATGCTGTTTGGTGAAACTCTGGCTGGCTCCACGGATCAACTCAAGGTCCACATATTATTTCACGAAGTGAAGGCATGCGTTTCTTACAAAAATTATTCCAAAGCAAGATCTGAAATTTCCAATTAAAAAATTTCTGGAAGATGGCAGAATAGGAAGCACCAGAAATCTGTCTTCCTACCTAGGTAACAATTACATTGGCAGAATCTATCTGGTATAACTATTTTGGAACTCTGGAGTCTACTGAAGGCTTTCCACTTCCAGGGGAAGGTTTTAGATGATAAATTGCAGTTAATTTTGGCCAATTTTAGCTCTTAGCACAGTAGCTACCCATCATCCACCCCTAAGCCCCATGGCAGGCAGCCATGCATATGTTCCTGGAGCAGGTTGCATGCAGCCTTTGGAAGTTGGAGTGGACAAAAAGGACCTTGTTCTCTAAATATTGGGGATCCATGCTCTCATTGCTGATTGCTGCTTCCAATCACAGAGATGTAGACAAAGAGGTGGCACCCATTATTGTTGCACCTTCCCCCATTGCTGCAAGCCCTGCCTTCTCTGGCTGAAGCAACTTCCTGAGGGTTTAAAGAGCCAGCATCCTTTATTTTTACCCTTTCATTTTTCTTGTTTTCCCCCTTTTGGGAACCAGACACTAGAACCTAGTCTGAGGACTAGGACATTCAGAAGCAACTGCATATATGGGGGGAATAGAAAGTCACCACACAGGTTCAGGGAAAGGCATAGGCTCAGAGACGATCTGAGAAGACTTTAAGTTTATACCTCAGGCTGATCTTTAACCCAGAGACAGCTACCACAATGCAAATAAGAAACAGAAATAAAAATAGAAATGCTAAGGAAAAGGGAGAATCTGATTTCCTGAATTACATTATTAGATTCAAATGTCCTGTTTTCAACAACAAAAACAACAACAAATTACAAGGCATACAAAGGAACAGGAAAGTAGGGTTCATTTAAAGATTAAAAACCAAACCAACAGGAGTTATCCCTGAAAAATACCTGATGGCAAAGTCTTTAAAACAGCTGTCTTAAAGATGCTCAAAAAACCAAAGAAAGACATGGATAAAGTCAAGAAACTGACGTATGAACCAAATGGAAACATCAGTAAAGAGAGAGAGAACCTAAAAAGAAACCAAGAAGAAATTCTGGCATTGAAAAGTACAATAACTGAAATTTAAAATTCACTAGAGGGATTCAAAAGCAAGTTTTTAAAGGCAGAAGAAGGGATTAGTGAACTTGAAGATATGACGATAGAAATTATTGAGTATGAACAACAGAAAGAAAAAGGATTAAGGAAAAGTGAACAGAGTCCAAGGGGCCTGTGGGACATCATTAAGAGGACCAAATACGTATTATGGGAGTTCCAGAGGAGAACAGAGAGAGAAAGGGCAGATAGAACATTTGAAGAAATAATGGCTGAAAAATTCCCATGTTTGGTGAGAGACATGAATATAAATATCCAAGAAGCTCAACAAACTCCAAGTAGATGAACTCAAAGAAACCTACACTGAGATACATTATAATCAAACTGTTGAAAGACAAAGACAAAGAGAGAATCTTGAAAACAGCAAGAGAGAAGCAATTCATCACACAGAAGAGATTCTCAATAAGATTATTAACAGATTTCTCATCAGAAACTTTGGAGGCCAAAAGGCACTGGGCTTATATATTCAAAATGCTTTTTTTAAAAAACCACTATAAACCAAGAATTCCATATCTGACAAAATTGACTTTCAATATTAATGGAGAAATTAAGACATTGATAGAAAAAGTAAAGCTGAGGGAATTCATTGCTACTAGACCTGCCCTACAGAAAATGTTAAAGGGAGTCCTACAAGATGAAACAAAGGGACACTAGACAGTAACTGAAAGCTGTATGAAGTAATAAGGATCTCAGTAAAGGTGAAAACATGAGTAATTATAAGAGCTAGTATTATTGTAACAATGGTGTATATAACTCCACTTTTTTTTTTTTTTTTTTTTTTTTTTGAGACAGGGTCTCACTCTGTCACTCAGGCTGGAGTGCAGTGGTGTGATATTGGCTCACTGCAGCCTCAACCTCCTGAGCTCAAGCTATCCTCTTGCCTCAGCACCCTGAGTAGCTGGGACTACAGACATGGCCCCCATGCCTGGCTAATTTTTGTATTTTTTGTAGAGACGAGGTTTCACCATGTTGCCCAGACTGGTTTCCAACTTCTGTACTCAAGCAATCTGCCCATCTCAATCTCCCAAAGTACTGAGATTACAGACATGAGTTACCATGCCCAGCTATACTTTTTGTTTTTGACATGATTTAAGATACTAATACATTAAAAGTTATTAGTCTAAGAGCTAATATAGTAACTTTGGCTTGTAACTTCACATTTTATTTTCTACATGATTTAAGACATCAACACTTTAAAAAAATCCTTAGTTTAAAAGTTAATATCATTGTAACTTTGGTGTGTAACTCCACATTTTGTTGTGTACATGATTTAAGAGACTAATGAATCAAAAACATTATCAGTTTATATTTTTGGACACATAATGAATAAAGATATTGTGATAACTGAAAAAGGTGAAGATGGAGCTGTTAAAGAAGCAGAGTTTTGTATGTTATTGAAGATAAATCAGTATAAATTCAAATTACAGTGTTATAACTTTAGGATGTTAAATGTTATCCCCATGGCAATATATCCTCAAAGAAAAGAGCTAAAGAATGTACATAAAAGGAAATGCAAAAAGAATTAAAAGATTTTACTATTAAAAAAATCAATGAAATGCAAATGAAGATAATAATGCATGAAACAGGGGCTAAAATAGCTATAAGGCCTATAAAGAACAAATATTAAAATGACAGAAGTAAGTCCTTGTTTATTAGTAATTACTTTAAATGTAGATGGATTCAACTCTTCAAAACAGAGATCAAAAAAATAGATTAAAAAAATCTAACTATATGCTGCCTTCAAGAGACTCAAAGATTCAAATAGATTTAAAGTGAAAGAATGAAAAAGAATAGTCTATGTAAATAATAACCAAAAGAGAACAGTGGTGGCTGTAGTAATATCAGACAAAATAAAATTTGTAAATCAAAAAAGCTTACAAGAGACAAAGAAGGACATCTCAATAAAAGGTTCAATATAGCAAGAATAGATAACATTTAAAAACATTTATACACCTAATAAAAGACCATCAAAATATAGGAAGCAAAAATGAATAGAACTGAAGAGGGACATAGTTATATAATAATAGTTGGGGACTCCAATATCTTATTTTCAATAATGGACAGAACAACCAGACAGAAAGTAAGTAAGGAAATAGAAAACTTGAACAATGTAATAAACTAGATTTAACAGACATATATGGAACATTGTACCCATCAAAAGAAAACACATTCTTCTCCAGTGCACATGGGACATTCTCATGGGTAGACAATACATTAGGCCACAAATCATATCTCAATAGATTTTTTAAAAATAGATATCATATAAAGTATTTTTTTCTGATCACAATAGGATAAAGTTAAAAGTCAGTAACAGAAAAGGAATAGAAAAATTCACAAATTTTGTGGAAATTAAACAACACACTTAAACCACCAATGGACCAAAGAAGAAATCACAAGAGAAACTAGAAAATACTTAGAGATGAATAGAAACAAAAACGCAACATACCAAAACTTACAGACACAGTGCTAAGGGGAAAACTTTGTCACTACAAGTGCTTACATTAAAGAAACAAGGAAGACTTTAAATCAATAATCTAACTTTACACCTTAAGAAACTAGAAAAAGAAGATCAAACGAAACCCAAAGCTAACAGAAGGAAAGAAGTAACAGAGAGTAAAGCAGAGCTAAGTGAAATAGAGAATAGAAAAATAATAGATAAAATCAATACAACCAGAAATTGGTTCTTCAAATTGATAAACAAAATGAAAATCTGTTGGCTAGATGGACTAAGAAAAAATACAGAAGGGTCAAATTACTAAAATCAGAAATGAAAGTAGAGCTATTACTACCAATTCTACAGAAATAAAAAGATTATAAGACTACTATGAGCAATATTATGGCAAAAAAATTGGATAACCGAGATGAAGTGAACCCATTCCTAGAAACACAAAACCTGCCAAGACTAAACCTTGAAGAAATAGAAAATTTAAATATACCTATAACTAGTAAGAAGATCAAATCAGTAGTCAAAAATTTTACGATAAAGAAAAACCTTGGACTTGATGGGTTCACTGGTGAAATTCTACCAAACTTTTAAAGAACTAATACCAATTCTCAAACTTTTCCAAAATTTGAGGGAACACTCCCTCACTCATTTAATGAGACCAGTTTTACCCTGATACTAAAGCCAGCCAAAGACATCATATAAAAAATAAAAAACCACAGCTCAATATCCCTTATTAACATTGATGCAAATATCCTCAACAAAATACTAGCAAACTGAATTCAGCAGCATATTAAAACGATCATACACTATGACCAGGTAGGATGTATTCCTGGAATACAAGATAGTTTAATATATGAAAACCACTCAATGTAATACACCATATTAACAGAAAGAACGGAAAAAACTCACCTGATCATCTCAATTAATACAGAAAAGCATTTGAAAATTTAGCACCCTTTCATGATAAAAACACCCAACAGACTAGGAATGGAAGGACACTACCTCAACATAATAAAAGCCATATATGAAAAACTCATAAGGAACATCATACTCAATGGTGAAAGACTGAAATTCTTTTCTCTAATATCAGGAATAAGACAAGGATGCCCACTTCTACTCAACACAGTATGAGAAGTTTGAGCCAGAGCCATTAGGCAAGAAAAAGAAATAAAAGTCATCCAGGTTGTAAAATAAGTAAAATTATATGATTTTACAGATGATATGATTTTATATGTAGAAAACTCTAAGGATTCCACAAAAAAACACTGTTAGAACAAATAAATTCAGTGAAGTGCCAGTATACAAGTCAATACACAAAAGTTAGTTGCATTTTTATACACCAACAATAAACATCTGAAAAGAAAACTTTAAAAATTCCATTTACAATAGCATCAAAAAGGATACTTAGAAATTAACTTAAACAATTAAGACTTGTACAATGAAAACTACAGAACATTTCTGAAAGAAATTAAAGAAGACATAAATAATTAGAAAGATGTCCTATGTTCATCGATTGGAGAAAAATATTGTTCAGATGTCAGTACTACCCAAGGTGGTCTGGAGATTTAATGCAATACCTGTCAAACTGCCAATAATTTTTTTTTGCAGAAATAGAAAAATCCATTCCAAAATTCATATGGAATCTCAAGGAATCCAGGATAGCTAAAACAATCTTGAAAAAGAAGAGCAAAGTTTGAGGACTCACACTTCCTGATTTCAAAACTTACTATAAATCTACAGTAATCAAAACAGTGTGCTATTGACGTAAATACAGACATAGAGAGTTCAGAAATAAACCTCAGACATATGGTCAAACGAGTTTTGAAAAGAATGCCTACCATTCACTGGGGGAGAAGACAGTCTGTTCTTTTGTTTTTGTTTTTGTGTTTTTCTTTTTGAGACAGGATCTCTCTCTGTTGCCTAGGCTGGAGTGCAGTGGCAAAATCACAGCTCACTGCAGCCTCAACCTCCTGGGCTCGAGTTATTCTCCCACCTCAGCCTCTCGAGTAGCTTGGACTACAGGCATGTGCCAACATACCCAGCTTTTGTGTCTGTGTGTGTGTAGAGATGGGTCTCAGTATGTTGCCCAGGCTGGTCTTGAACTCCTGGGCTTAAGTGATCTTCCTGCCTCAGCCTCCCAAATTGCTGAGATTTCAGGCATGAGCCACCATGCCTGGCCAAGGCAGTCTGAAAAATAAATAGTGCTGGGAAAATTGGATATTCAAATGCAAAAGAATAAAGTTGTTCCATTACCTAACACTGTATAAAAAATTAGTTCAAAATGGATCCATGATCTAAATGTAAGACCCAAAACTATAGAACCTTTGGGAGAAAGCATAGGACAAACACTTCATAACATTGGATTTGGCAATGATTTCTTGGTTGTGACACAAAAGGCACAGGCAACAAAAGAAAAAATAGACAAATTGGACTTCATGAAAGTTAAAAACTTTTGTGTATCAAAAGACAATATCAACAGAGTAAAAAAAGCAACCCACAGAATTGGAGAAAATATTTGCAAATCATAAGTCTGATAAGGTATTAATACCCAGAATATGTACAGAACTCCTGAAACTCAACAATAAAACAACTAAATTAAAAAGGCATGAATAGATACTTCTCCAAAGAAGATGTACGAATGGCCAACAAACATATGAAAAGGTGTTCAATATCACTGATCACTAGGCAAATGCAAATCAAAATTACAATGAGATACCATCTGATACCTATTAGCTACCTATTATCAAAAGGCCAGAAAATCACAAGTGTTGATGAGGATATGGAGAAATTGGAACCCTTATGCCAACTGCTGGTGGGAATGCAAAAATGGTATAGCTGCTGTGGAAAATAGTATGGCAGTCCCTTGAGAAATTAAAAATAGAATGACCATATGATCTGGCAACTACACTTCTAGGTATATAGTCAAAAGAACTGAAAGCAGGGTCTTAAAGAGACATTTGTACACCCATGTTCATAGCAACATTTTTCACTATAGCCAAAACAAAGAAGCAACCTAAGTGCCCATCCACAGATGAATGGGTAAGCAAAAATGTGGATATGTATAATGGAATATTATTCATTTTTGAATACGGAGGACATTCTGTCATATGCTACAACATGGATAAACCAGAAAGACATCAAGCCAGGCAAATAAGCCAGTCAGAAAAAGACAAATACTGTATGAGTCCACTTATATGAGGTACTCAGTCAAAATCCTAGGGACAGAAAGTAAAATGGTGGTTTCCAGGAGCTGGGGGAAGGAGAAAACGAAGAGTTATTGTTCAGTGGGCATAGAGTTTGAGTTTTGCAAGGCAGTGTGTTTTGGACATAGATGGTGGTGATGGAAAACAATTTGAATGTACTTAATACCACTAAACTGGACACTTTAAAGTGGTTAAGATAAATTTTGTGTTGTGTGTATTTTACCACAATAAAAAAAGTGGAAAAACTTTTCCTCCCTCCTTATGGTGCCTTCCAAAGCCAGACCCAGCTGGGCTTCTGGGCCCCTGATGCTGAATCATTCCTCTTCCTATCCACTAGGCTCTCATGGTGAATTTCCAAAGCTGGGCTGCTGCTACTTTAGGGGCTTCTTGCACCCACCATCCAACTCTTTATGTGGCTTCTGAGTAGCGTTGCCATCTATCTTTGGGAAACTCCCACTCTTCTTTTATGTGGCCAGAGGGTAACAGAGCTATCTGTCCTCTCTAGTGCTCCATGTTCAATTTAAGGAACTAGTGAAAAGTGAGCTTCGTTGGACTCACTTGCAGTAAATTCCTTGCTACAACCCTCTAAGCAGGAGACAAACGATGGGAAACCTGACTGTGGTGGGTACCAAATGGTGATCACCCAAATTGTTGTCATGAAATCTACCCCCCTTTCCACATCTCATCAGTGGAGAACTAGAAGTTTCTAGAAATAAAGCTCATAACCATCTAGTGTTTCTGGGAGTTTAAGCAGATTGTTTTAAAGATTCACTGGCCTTATTTATGCCCTCAGAGTGAGTACTATCTTTGCATCCTCTCTGCTGGCCCAGACTGCAACACTCCACATTCTTGCCCACCTAATCTTTTCTGCCATAACATGAGAGCTGGTTTCCTAAGATGACTTGGATTATAAAAATTGTGTTAGAAAATAATTATTTCAATAGAAGTATGTTAAGGGCTTGGAAGTGTACATACTTTTTTTTTCTGAAGAATTTCAATTATAAAGGGAGTTTAAAAATTACCCAATAAACATATGGTAATAGAACTTACTCATCACCAAGCAAATCACTGCTGATTATTCTGAGCCAAAATAATGACATTTTTTTCTTTCTTAATCACTCATTGTTTTAATCAACACAGTATAATGCCAGTCAAACAAAATAGCTTGTCCCCACCTACAGCAGGGTATTAAAATTCTTGCTGTAGGGGAAGTGCCCAGAGAAGACACCTTTGTGGGAGCTGTTTCCTCAAGCCAAGCTTAAATCTTTTACACAGGTATAAGAATGCTCTAAATGTGACTAAGTAACCATTGCCTTCGAGCAGAAAGCATGTATGGTAACTGCCTGCCATTTTGATCTGAACACAAGTGGCCCTGAGCTGAGGGAATCCATTTCCCTCAGGTTTTGCATGTCAGCAAAACTAGGTAGAGGAGGTGACTCTTAACTGGTTTTGAATGATAAGTTGGTGGCCTAGGGAAGGGAAAGGAAGGGAATGAGTAGGCTGGTGACCACTGGTATGGAACTATAATACAGCATGGCACATCCTGGGAACCATAGGTGAGGCTGCAGAGTTGGGTAAGAGGCAGAGCATGGCAGTGAAAGCTAATACAAAGAGGACATCTCACCTCCTGGTACCTTAAGGAATTTAGACTTCATTCCCTAAGTCAGTAGTTTTTTGTTTTTGTCATTTGTGGATCATTTATTAGATACCATTACTCCAGAGGACCAGTGATTTTAGGTAAATTAAGAAGAAATGACTCAATATAATCTTAATATAACAAGGGCATGATGCTTTTTTTTTTTAAAAAAAAATAATAATTGTTTCACTCACTGAGATGATGTGTTATGCAGTCTGGTCAAGGCTCAAAGATAGAGAAGTTGTGCCATCATATCCTATTAATTTCTTTTCTTGGTCATTCTAAAATTAGAGATTTCCAACTCACAATACACAGTGGGAATGGCAGTCAATATTTGGCTGCTCTTTTGGGTGAATCTGCATCTTTGGATGGCACAGAGACAGAAGTTAGAGGATTCTCTCAGAAGACCACATTCAGCACTTTGTCAGACATGAAGTCAACCAGACACCACATTTGATAGCTGGAGAGTCAAGTGTTTCACCCTGAGAGGGAGTCATGAATGGATTCATATCCACTCTTTGGTTGAATTCTCTGTCAAGAAAAAAAATCGAGAGTTGGCAAAGGGTCAGATGGTCAAAATGAAGCCATTTGTACAATATTTCACTTTGATTCAAAGTTTTTTTTTAGCTCTGTGAATATGTTTATTACACACATGTCTTTTACAGCCAGGTTGCTAAAGACACACCTGAGTCAGTCTTATTCTTGATCCGTTATAGCTTCTCTGGTTTCCACTGTAATTACTTTTGGTTTCTATCTTTATCCTTTAAAAAAAATCCCTAGGAGAAGCCCAGGGCTGCAAGTGTCTTTAAAGTGTTGGTGATCAAGATATCCTGCCATTTACATTAATTCTCACAGCTAGCTGAGTCCTTCATTCATCGACACACCAGCCAGGTGATCCACCACTCAGATATTCTTTTGTTTTGATGTTTCACCGTGATACATGTATGTGTAAACCTTTTTAAAAAAACCAGACTTACTTTACTGAATCCTTATGAGAATATTTTAATTTGTGGATTTCAGTCCCTATTCAATGCTGAGAAATCCTTAGCTGTTCTCTCTTCAAATATTAATAATATTTTTGCACTATTTTTCCTGTTTTTGAATTATCTTCCTTTCTACTTCCTTTGGTTTAAGGCTGCTGTTTCTGTTTTCTATAACCTGGGCTTTTACCTATGCTGTTTCCGCTGTCTGGAATGTCCTTCCCACCAAACCTACCCTTCCCCAACTCCTCCAAAGTTCAACTTAAATAACTCCTTTTCTGTGTAATCTCTTTTGGTCCTTAGTTGGATATACCCATCCCTCTTTCGTGCTCTGATCATACAAGATTGTAAACTCTTTGAGGCCCTGATGGTGGCCTCCATTTCTTTGTACTTCTCACAGGTCCTAGTACATTACAAGACATAAGAAATTCATGGCCTACTGGTTGCTTGATTTTGATATATGAAAAAGTGTTAGAAATTCATCACAGAGAGCAAAAACAGAACTCTGGTTCAGGAAGAAAGAATGGGGAACATGGGGCCTTCTCAGATAATTGGATACACTGTCCATGTACAGACATAGATTATGTGAACAAATGGAGACTGCTACCTCAGTGATGATGACAGCCGATTAACAGCTGCCTTAGTCAGTTCAGGCTGCCATAATGGAATACCATATACTGGGTGGCCTAAACAACAGAAATTTATTTCTTAGAGTTCAGCTGTCTGGGAAGCCCAAGATCAAGGTGCCAGCAAGTCGAGTGTCTGCTGAGGGCCTGCTTCCTGGTTTGCAGATGGCTGTCTTTTTTCTGTGCCCTCCCTCAGTGGAGAGCAGAGAGAGGGGAAGCAAGTGCTTTTTTATCAGGGTCTCTTCTTGTAAGCAGCTTTTCTTATAAGGGCACTAATCCCATTCATGTGGGTTCTATCCTTATGATATAATCACCTCCCAAAGGCCCCACCTCCTAATACCACCACATTGGGAGTTAGGATTTCAACATATAAATTTTGGGGGTGGGACACAGTCTATCAGTCCATAAGAGCAGTAATATTTATTAGATGTCTATTTTGTGGTAGCCACTGCTAAGCACTTTGTTTCATTGTTAAAATTCATACTCAAAAGAGCGCTATGAGGGAGGCAGTGTGATTCTCAGTTTCCAACTGAGGACACCGAGGCTCAGAGGCAGTGAGTGATGTGACCGAGGACACACAGCTCATGAACCGCTAAGCTGAGACGGGTCTGTCTTACTCCCGGGTGTGCTCAGATGACCACAATGTTACAAGGTCTCCCTAAAGGCGATGGGCGGTATACACAGGACCAGATTGCTTAGTAACCACTGAACATGTAGAGTGTGTTGTTTGGCCAGAACCACAGCTAAAACTTGCTTTTTTGTCCTGTAAATGCTAATTTTGTGGCAACTGGGTACTCTTGTGGCCCAGCCACCTCTAAACCAAAATCACTCTTAGACTTTTGGAATCAGCTTTGGAGAACTACTTACATCACTGAAACTTAAAAATGGGGAGTAGTAATTGTACTTACACTTGAAGTATTATTCATGCAGTCCTCAGAGAATATCTGAACATTCTTTTACCTCTCAGATAATTTACAAATGCCTTGAATGTCAACATCGAAGTGTCAATGACATGAAGAATTTGCCCATGTTTATGTTTTTATATTAGTGGAGGGAGCACGCAATCCCCCACGAACTGTAAAGTCCTATCATTTATGGAACAAACCCGACAAACCTGCCAGGTTTTTCTGGTCATAACAATTTTGTTTTGGCTTGATCTATTTTTTCTGGTATTTCAAAGAGTTGTGATTTTCTTACAGACTCTGTGATGTTAATTATACGATAGCAAAATGCTGTCTCTTTGCAATTTTGTAAATAGGTCTGAGAATAAATTAGGGTGGTGGGAGTAACCACCTTCCAAAATGTGGATGCCAAGGTTATGAGTTTTGTTTTCTTGAGCATTGAGGTTACTGTGGGTGGAATGAGTGACTCTCTCAAAATTGGGCAGGAAAACTAAGACTACCAGTTCCCAAGGTAGCATAATTTTTGGGGTAGGTCAGAGGAAATGTGGGAAGGAATCATGTGGGAGGGTCATGCAAGGTGATGGTCTCCTACACGGTCCCCTTTAGAACACTCTTGACATGACCACCTAAGCCATAGCCCCCTCCTGAGAGGTTCCCACATAAAGATCAGTGGATTGAAGTGTGTACCCCTAAAAGATATGCTGAAGTCCTAACCTCCAGTACCCATGAATGTGGTCTTACTTGGAAGTAAGGTCTTTGCAGGTGTAATCAAGTTAAAATAAGATCACCAGAGTGGGCCCTAATCCAATATGACTGTGTTCTTATAAGAAGAGAGAAATTTGGACACAGGCACATACACAGAGGGCAGATGGCCAAGTGAAGATAGAGACAGATTGGAGTTGTATGGCCACAAACAAAGAATGCCTGGTTCTACCAGTAGCTGGACGAGGCAAGGAAGTCTCCTCCTACAGTGGCTTTGGAGGGAGCATGACCCTGCTAACACCTTGATTTTGGACTTCTAGCCTCCAGAACCATGAGAAGAAATTTCTGTTGTTTTAAGCCACCCGGTTGGTGGTACTTTGTTGCAGCAGCCTTTGGAACCTAATACGGTCAGTGACACTGGCTATTACTTAGAAATACTCGAGGAGCTCTTGGAAAATACCAATGCCTGGGCCTCCACCCTAGATGAACAGAAATCAAATTTCCATGGTTTCAGCCTTGGGCTGGGCATTTTTTAATGCCCTCGGGTAATTCTAATGTGTAGCCAAGGCTGTGAACCATTGATACAGGTCATTATTCTTGTACCCCAGACCCACCTTTCCCAGGCTACACCTAATGAGGCCAGTGATTGGCACGTAACCCAAAGGTAGGTATGACCCGCCTTTACAGTTCAATAACTCTGCCCAACGTGACTCAATCAGATCTTCTCTATTGGAAAATTAGAATGTAAAGTATCACACAATATTAGCAGACAGTTGAGGGGCAGAGAAATGGAGAGAAGGCAGTGGGGAAAAGCCCAAAGGAGGAGAAGCCATGGGTGAGAGCGAGGTCTGGGGCAGAGAAGTCAGTGGTGGGGAAGTGGGGGAGGAGCTACGGAGAAAAGCAGAAATGCAGGTGTTCAGTCTGAGCCTGGAAGACTTCTTGGGTTGCTATAGGATTCTCAAGGTGACCAACAGAGACCCGGTGCTGCTGCGGTGTCGGCAACAGGGATGAAGGATACTCCATTCTCTACAACCTTGTTACACTGTGTGATCTGTGGACTGGCAGCATTAGCATCACCTGGGAGCTCATTAGAAATGCAGAATATTAGGCCCCGCCTTCCACTTCCTGACTCCAGATCCCCAGATGATTCATTTGCTCACTAAGTTTGACAAGCACAACTGTCTAAGGCCTGGCTGAGTAGCTCCAGTGTCATTTCCTGAGCTTCCTTACTCCTGTTTATCCTTATACAAGTTGAATCACTTGAGGGAACCTGAAGGAGACGGGGGTCTCTGTTTCTTGCAGCCTGAATGATCTTCCCTGATGGAAGGCAGAAATAATTTTCTGTGTAAGAGCTCTGTGAAGCTGGAGAGATTTTGAAAATGAGTCTGGATGTTAGGGATTGCTGGACGCTACCTGTGCCATTCATCATAGTTGGTATGATTTCAGTAATACTTGGTACCACCAAGGCAAAGCTTTGCAAGTATCTCTGGTTCAGTGGTTCTCAGAGTGTGGTGTCTGCACAAGCAGCTTCAGCATCTCCGGGAAACTTGTTAGAAATGCAGATACTCAGACCCCACTGTAGACCTGCCAAATCAGATTCTCTCGAGGCCCGGCAATCTGTACTGCAACAAACCCAGCAGATGGGTCTGGTGCCCACTAACATCTGAAAACCGCTGCCCTTCTCTATTGTTTTTACGCTATTGATTCTCTCGTCTTCAGAACTACTGGGCAAAGGACCTGGGCATGTCATTCTAATCTATTGGTAATAACACTGGTGGGGATGCTCTATTTGTAATGATCCCAAACTGAAAATGACCCGTATGCCCACAACAGCAGAATGGATAAACAAATTGTGGTACATTCACACACTGGAAGATAGCAAGGGAGATGAATGATTTACAGCTGCAGACCCAATGTTGAATGAAAGAAGCCAGACACAAACGAGTTCATGCTGTATGATTTCATTTGTATAAAATATAAAAACAGGCAAAAATAACCTATGTTTTGAGAAGTCAGGCTTTCCACATGTTGCTGCGTCTCCCTGGGATATTTCCCCCTCTCCACCCTGTCCCCTCAGCTCTTCCCTGTCTAGATTTCCAATCACCCTGCCATTCTCAGCTTAGATGTACTTTTTTCTTTTTTTTTTTTTTTGGAGATGGAGTCTCTTTCTGTTGCCCAGGCTGGAACGCAGTGGCTCGGCTCACTGCAACCTCCACCTCCCACGTTGAAACGATTCTCCTGCCTCAGCCTCCCTAGTAACTGGGATTATAGGCACACGCCACAGTGCCCGGCTATTTTTTTTTTTTTTTTGTATTTTCAGTAGAGACAGATTTTCACTATGATGGCCAGGCTGGTCTTGAACTCCTGACCTCAAGTGATCTGCCTGCCTCAGCCTCCCAAAGTGTTGGGATTACAGGCATGAACCACTGCGCCTGGCCTTAGATGTGCTTCTTCAGAATCTTTCTCTATCACCTTGTTGAGAAGTCACACAGGAGAGGGTACTTCCTGGAAGGAGACAGATGGGGGGTGTAGCGGGCATTTGTAGTGTTCTGTTGCTTGCTGTGAATGCTTATGACAGTGGTGTGTTCTTTTTGTAAAAAACATATCAAGCTGTAAGCTTACCATTTTTGCACTTTTCTGTCTGTATGCTATTATACTTCCATACAAATTTTTAAAAGTATTGGTGGGTGTCGTAAAGTGTTTGAATCCTGATGTGATTTTCCTACAGCATTTTTTTTTTACAGCCTATAATTTGAGGTTTTGGTCCATCTCTTGCTTTCAGTGCATGAGATGAGGAACGTTAGTGACCCGTGTGGTTGTGTGGATTAATTTCTAAAACCTCACTTGGAACAGAGTGCTAACAGTTGCAAATGATTAGGAGTTTATGAAGTGCTTTAAAATACATCTTGGTAGTGTTTTAGGGTAAAGTTTTGTCAGTGTAATTTAGTTTTTAATTAATGAATGACTTCCCCAGATTGTTTTTTAAAAAAATACCGGTTTCACCATTTTTTTCCCCTAGAGGACCCTCTTAAATCATGTTTGGAATTTCATAAAAGAGAAAATGTCTGTGTGATTATTTGTTCTCCATAAGGTGGTAAATACATGGGCAGAGCTTTTAGAGGAAGTGATTTTATTGAGTAAAATGAGCCTCTAGGAGATGCTTTGAACTTACAACGAAGACATTCACAAATCATTACAGCTGCTTTCCAGAAAGCACAAATACTTATTACATATGCCTGGCTTAACCTGAATTTTAGATAAGTAACACAAAGGAGAAACAACAACAGAAAAACCCAACATGATCCGCATTTATTCAAACCCCACATGGCATGGTGCAGCCCCTCTGCTGTTATAATTGACAGGGTAGTTTAGGAAAGAATAATGCTCCCCTCTGACAGTTGCAGGGCCTGGTCTTATTTTCATTACACAGATTGGGGTTTAATGGGAAAATCCCACTGCAACTCTATCCTAATTAGATTCCTGGGTTTTGGGGTGAAAGGAATATTCAAGGTCCTTTTGTACAATCTGCCTATTTGACGGTAAGTGAAATGAAGCCCACAGAGGCTAAAGTGACCTCCCGAAGGCTGTATGCTGGGTTAGTGAAAAAGCTTGGCTGTGAACTTGGAGTTCTGGGCTTTTTCCAGGGACAAGGTGAAAGTCTAGCAGAGAGCTGGTCTCCGTGGAGAGGGTCGGGAAGTGATGGGAGCCTGAGGACCTAAAGCAGCTCAAGCTGTTTTCCAAAGCGAGGTAGGCTCACACTGGAAAGCTTGAGCATTCCAATCTGGCCTCCTTCACTGTTTCTCCTACAGCATATTCAGACTGGAGTATTGTATTAGTCCATTTTCATGCTGCTGATAAAGACATACCCGAGACTAGGAAGAAAAAGAGGTTTAATTGGACTTATAGTTCCACATGGCTGTGGAGGCCTCAGAATCATGGCGGGAGGTGAAAGGCACTTTTACATGGGGGCAGCAAGAGAAAAATGAGGAAGATGCAAAGGTGGAAACCCCTGATAAAACCGTCAGATCTCATGAGACTTATTCACTACCACGAGAACAGTATGGAGGAAACTGCCCCCATGATTCAAATTATGTCTCATCAGGTCCCTCCCATAACACGTGGGAATTATGGGAGTACAATTCAAGATGAGATTTGGGTGAGGACACAGAGCCAAATCATATCGAGTAGAGTTTGATTAAAATATCATTTTATTATTATTATTATTATTATTATTTGAGACGGAGTCTTGCTCTGTCGCCCAGGCTGGAGTGCAGAGGCGCGATCTCGGCTCACTGCAAGCTCCGCCTCCCGGGTTCACGCCATTCTCCTGCCTCAGCCTCCCGAGTAGCTGGGACTACAGGCGCCCACCACCAGGCCCAGCTAATTTTTTTTTTTGTATTTTTAGTAGAGACGGGGTTTCACCGTGTTAGCCAGGATGGTCTCGATGTCCTGACCTCGTGATCCGCCCGCCTCGGCCTCCCAAAGTGCTGAGATATCAGGTGTGAGCCACTGCGCCCAGCCTAAAATATAATTTTTTAAAAAGTAAAATATAAAGACATACCTATTGCTTGCATAATGCATATGTTCTGGAAAAATCTGTGGATTTTCTTCTTTACATCTTTCTCTACCAATTCAACTCAGTGCACTAGGTTTTGAGAGCCTGCCACTTGCCAGGCACATAGCTAGATGTTGGGGATTTGGCTGTGATCAACACTCTCTCTACTCTCATGGTGATGAACAAGGACAGATACTGAATCATCTTGAAGGGGAAATGCATGGCGTTGAGAGGTATGTAGCAGGGTACTGAAGCTACAGAGAAAGATCCAGCTAAGCCAGGAATGGCAGGAGGAGGTGGCTTTAGCAGGGGACATGCTGGGCTGGGGACAATGTCCCAGAAAATAAAGTATGATGTGCAAAGCTTGTATTCCAGAGACACAGTGTCACTGTCAAGGAGGCCTCTGCATCTTCATCCCTCAAGATCTGAACTGCTCAACCCTAGGTCTGTGAGCCAATAATTTTTTGTGTGTCTAATCTTTTTCAAACCACACTAAACATATTTCAGGAGACAAGTATAGCCAAAACACAATTATTATGCAGTGGTTTATCAGAGAAATACAAGGAAAATTTTACAATCTGTTGCTGTCCTCAAAGAGGCTTAGCCCCACTTTTCCATGTTTCTATCAGAATAGGATAGAATCACTGAGTATAGATTGATTAAAATAACATTTTTTAAAAAGTAAAATATAAACACTTTCCTATTGCCTGCATAATGCATATGTTCCAGAACAAATAGTAGAAAAATAAAATATTTCCTGTGTGAGTCACCTTTTCTCTAGACTGTACTGTTAGTGTCTTCAGCCTTTCTTTGAATCAGTTGTTTTCCAGATCATTCTCCACCTCACCCTCTGATCATTATAATGTGGATATAACTCAGAAACGGCCCCCACATTTCCCCTCTTCGGTTGTGGGGCGGGGGGGAAGACACAAACACAGAATTTAAAATTTAAATGTAAATGTAAATTAAATTAATTAATTGCTTATACAATAAGCAAATAAGTTAATTGCTTACTTTTGTAGTGGTGGGGGAAGATATGAACACAGAATTTTAAATTAAAATTTAATTAAATTTAAAAAATTAAAATTAAATTTAATTAAAAAAATAATTTTAATTTAAAATTCTGTGTTCATATCTTTTCCCCACCCCTACAACCAAAGAGGAGAAGTGTGGGGGCTGTTTGTGAGTTCCACAATATAATGATCAGAGGGTGAGATGGAGAGTGATTTGGAAAACAACTCATTCAAGGAAAGTCTGACGACACTAACACAGTATAGTCTAGAGAAAAGGTGACTCACACAGGAAATAATTTTATTGTACCAGTCAGGGAATTTTACTTCAACCAGCAGAAACTACTGCTGGCTGTCTTAAACCAAAGTGACATTAATTGAAAGGGAATTTGGGCTTGCACAAGTAGGGGTTAAAATTAGAGACTGGGGTGGAAGATTGGGTAGAAAGTAAGGGAAGTGTAGGCATGGTCAGGACCCAGGAAATGCCTCCTACAAATGCCACCAAGGTCTCCCAATATCCCCTCCATGTTTGTGGTACTTGCTCAAGTCCTAGACAAGTAAGCATCCTACTGTCTAAGGGTACATACTGGACCCTGTCTATGCAGAAGGAGGCAGAGGAGGCCAGCACTGGGAAACACCCTTATATCAAGACTGTACAATATAGGAATATACAAATTGGGAATGCAGCCAACAGTGGTTTGTTTTCTTGCTTATTTTTGTCCTTGCTTGTTCATTTTCTCTCTCTTGCCTCTGGGGTATAACCTCTTCAACAACAGGAACTTCATCTGTTGTCTGCCTCTGGATCCCTAAGCCCTCAAGAGTAGACATTCAGTAAATAGCTGTGGAATGTATTACTGGAGGAACATTCAGGGGACATAAACATATTCCACATTGTTCTATGTGTAGACAAAGGTGAGTGTGCCATTTTTATAGGGTTGTGGACTTTGGTTCAAGATAAGGAAGATTTTTCTAACAGAGTTATCTAGCAACATCATGCTCCATTTCATGAATAACTGGCCTCTGAGTGTGAAGGAAGCAGCAATGAGATTTCAACATGGACATCCACTACCGCTTCCTGTGACAACAGCACTTACAAACTTTTGTTTGGGGCTTCCCTTCCCCACTCTCAGGCCATGTGTTTTCTGGAAAGTTCACTCCACTTTCAAATCCAGAGGGTAATTTGACTGGTAAATGCTATCACCCCGGCCACAGTGACTGGTTCACTTTCCCCCACCTCTACAACCAAAGAGTGACCCAAATCAGGTCAAGCAGGGCAGCCAACCAGATCCAACCCAGGACTTTTGTTTGAGCCATGGAGAAAACAGACTGTCTTTTGAGGGATTTGGTGTCATAAGAGTGGGGTCCAGGAGTAGCCAGGAACCCTCAAGTGAAACTTGAGAATGAAGCTGACATGGAAGATGTCAGTGAAGGAGGGCAAGCCTGGTCTGTGTGTGCCTGAAGCCAGATCCACTCAGAATTCTTATAACATGAGCCAAATTTTTTCCTTGGATTGGGTTTTCTGTTAGAGCAACAAAATGAGTCTTAAATAATATGAGTGTTAATTCCAGTTAATTGCTAGTGACTATCCCCAGCACTGTGTTGAGGAGGATTCCGAAGGCCATATCCAGATACGCGGGGAAGAGTAAGGTTGATAAGTGTTGTCTGCCACAGAAGCGGAGGGGGAGTTGTGCCCTACATGATGTGTTTGTTACCCTTGGGCGAGATGTTCAAACTCCTGTCATAAAGGTTGGGTCAGGTGGTCTGCAACAGTGCTGTTCAATGGACATATAAAGTGGGTCACACATGCACTTTACACTTTTTAGTAGCTATATTTAAAAAGTAAAAACAAGATAGTAAAATTAACTTTAATAATATCCTTTATTTAATTCAATATGCCCCAAATATTATTATTTCAACATGTGGCACTAGCTGCATTTCAGGTGCTCAATAGCTACATGTGGCTGGTGGCTACTGTCCTGGAGAGCACAGGCCTAGAACCATAGAGTACTGGAACTAGAAGAGACCTTAGAAGCAGCTTCTACCACCTGCCCATTGTACAGATGGGTCAATGGAGCCTGAGAGAGGAGGGAGTAACTTTCCAAAGCACATGAGTAATTGTAGTGACTTTCTGTGGCATATTTCACTTTCCTCTAAAGACTGAGACTGTATAGTGGGTGTAGTAGACAGAATAACGACCCTCCTCCCAAAGATGTCTACATCCTAATCCCTGGAGCCTGTGAATGTTAACCACGCAAAAGTGTGGTTACAAAAAAGACCTGCTGGTGTGATTAAATTAAGGATTTTGATATGGGAATATTATCCTGCATAATCCAGGTGGACCCACTGTAATCACAAGGGTCCTTATAAGAGGGAGGGGGTCAAAAGTCAGAAGGAGGTAGATGATGGAACCCAAGATTGGAGTGATGCAATTTGAAGATGGGGAAAGAGGCCATGGGCTAAGGAGTGCAGGAAACCTCTGGAATCTAGAAAAGGTAAGGAAACAAATCCTTCCCTGAAGATTCCAGAAGGAATACAACCCTGAAGACAACTTAATTTTAGCCTTGCAAGAATCATTTTGCATTTCTGACCTCCAGAACCCTAAGAGAGTAAATGCATGTTGTTTTAAGTTGGTAAGTGTCTGGTAATTTATTACAGAAGCAATAGGAAACTAATACAATGAGAAATGGCTCTGCTGAGTGAGCTGCCAAAATTTCTTTCCTTGATTGCTTTAGACATAAACCAGTGTTTCCTGCAATAAGACCACTTACCTTCACTCTGAGAAATTCACTGATATATGTGGCCAGTGGCTGTATACCACCCCAATTTCCCTGGAAAATTCTTTAAAACAGTCCTTAGCATCCCACCAAAGCTTTTACCAGTAAAAGGTGACAAGGTGAATCTTTTCACTCTAAGTCTACCTTTGAGGGAACATGTCCCCAATCCTTTGGTGGGTTCCAAGTCTGGCCTGGGGAAGGGCTCCACAAACCCACCAGCAAGTTATTTTCTTTGGCTTCTTCTAGGAAGTGCTATGGAGGCTACAAAGCTAATGCTACTCTCTGGCATTCAGGAATACCATGGTGACACACACACACAAATGACTAAAAACACCATAGTTTACATCATCCTTTCCTTTCATTAAATGTCAGAACACAGCTAGAGAACTTTAAACGTGACATTTTTGTCATCCTGTTTGCCCATTTGGAAAATGCAGTTTAATAAAGGCAGCTGGGTTAGTTCGAAGAGCACGGGGCAGAGTCAAAGGACTTAGGCTCAACCAAGAATTAGCTCATGATTTCTCCGCATCTGTGTTTCTTTGTCATCAAAAAGAAACACTGAGTTTGGTATTCCTTGTGGTTCTCCAATTTTATTATTTTAATTGTGTATAGGAAGTGGATTGCTGGTTTGAGAAACAGCATGATAATACATAATACTTGGGATGTGCTTCAAAACCTATTTTGAATTGTTATGGAGAATGGGCTGAGAATAAAGAAAAAATATAAAAATAAAAAAGTCTACTTTCCTTTTAGACAATTTTTTTCATTGTGCTTGACTTCAGTGTTATTTTGAGTTTCACAGAATCACACAAGATTGAAGTGATCATTAAGATTTTCTGCCCAGTCCTTTGTTTTGTAGTGAAGAATGCTGAGGCTCAGGGAGCTTGTGACTTGCCTACAGTTTCAGAACTGGTATTGAGCTAGCAGGGCTAGAATCAAGGTCTCCTGATTCACAAGCTAGAACTCCTCTTCCTCCCTCATCAGCTCTCTTAATTTATCCTATTTATAAGTTTATAGTTTTTCCTAAGAATAGTTGAGAGGAGCATCCCTCCAGTCCTTGCCAGTGCAATGGTGAGGAAGGAGGGAAAATGGTGGTGCTGCATGCATTGTTGAGATGGCTGGGTCTCTTGTGAGGCTTGGGGGTCTGTACATAAATAACTTAGGTTAGAGATGTGGCCAATCACTGCTACATTGGTCACTGATAGTGACTAAATTGCCCTCTGAAGGGGACTGCTCTCATTAATTGCAAAGCTTATATTTCACAGAGTTGGGGCTGAAACTAGGAAGTGGGTGAGTTGTGCCATGAATAGGTTCTCCTTTTCTGGCTCTTACCCCTACACAATGCTCAGTTTCTCCTTTTAGAAACTGACAAATAAAGAAAAACTCACAGACTTCCTCTATGGCTTGTTCTAGCTCTGAAATACCCAATGTACACTTAATCAGGAGAGGCGCAGAGTGCTGTGTCAACCCAGTTGTATCGCTAGCAATCATATGTAACAATAGGCATTGATTTGCACCATCACACTCAGGTGGAAGGTGATTACATTTTACCTTCTGCACCTTACACAAAGATCAATTTCAGGTAAATTGTTGATCTAAATGTGGAAGATTAAAGCAATAAAATTTGTAGGAGAAAATGTAGAAGAATGTCTTTATATCCTTGGGGTTACAAAAGCTTTCTTAAAGAGGATACTAATTGAAAATTTGGACTGCGTTAAAATTCAGAATTTCTGTTTACCAAAAGACTATTTAGAGAGTGAAAAGTTGAGCCTCATAGTGGAAAATAATATTTGCAATATTCATGTCTGTCAAATAACTCATAGCCAGGATAGAGAAGGAACTTCTGCAAATTGATAAGAAAACACTGGGCACCCAAACAGAAAATCGGGCAAAGAATTGAATGAGCACTTCGCAACATGTCCAAAATGCTCGAAATGTACTGGTAGAGGTTTCAGAAGCATAGTCATGGACTGACATCAATGTGAATACATTATCAATGGACTGCCAAATGTTTTTTTGATTGTGAGTGAAGGGGAATGTATCAGAAGACACAAAGTTTGGCTTCAGATAAAGAGCAAATATTTATCTACTCATGTGTGTAGTTATTTCTTACAAGATAGCTTGGCAGAGAGAGGTGAGTTCTTTAGAGGATGGCAAGTGATGTTTTAATCAAAGGACAGACAAGGCAGTGGTGCCCTGGATGGATTAAAGAACAGATAGGGAGGCCGGGTGTGGTGGCTCATGCTTGTAATCCCAGCACTTTGGGAGGCTGAGGCGGACAGATCGCGAGGTCAGGAGATTGAGACCATCCTGGCTAACACAGTGAAAACCTGACTCTACTAAAAATACAAAAAAATTAGCCGGGTGTGGTGGTGGGTGCCTGTAGTCCCATCTACTCAGGAGGCTGAGGCAGGAGAATGGCATGAACCTGGGAGGCGGAGCTTGCAGTGAGCCAAGATCGTACCACTGCACTCCAGCCTGGGCGACACAGAGAGACTCCATCTCAAAAAAAAAAAGAAAAGAACAGATAGATATTGGTTATAAAAGTATAACACTTTTATTTAACTATCCATATTTTCAATATGCCAGAAATTGTATTGTTTTTCAACCATTTAAACTTAGGATGAAAATATTGAGATGTCTGTCAACTTAACAATATTTGGGTGGGTTTGTGTCTTAGTCTATTTGGGCTGCTATAACAGAAGAGTTTAGACTAGGTAACTTATAAACAACAGAAATTTATTTCTTAGAATTCTAGAGGCTGGGAAGTCCAAGTTCCAGGCACCAGCTCTAGAGAGGGCTTACTCTTTGCTTCATAGATGGTGCCTTCTTGTGGTGTTCTCATATGGTGGAAGGGGCAACAAGCTCTTAGGCCTTTTTTGTGAGAGCACTAATCCTATTAATGAGGGCTCCACCGTCATGACTTAATCACCTCTCCAAAGGCCCCACTTCTTAATACCATGACATTGGGAATTAAGTTTCAACATATGAATTTTGGGGGGCGCACACATTCTGATCATACCAGGAAGAGACAGAGATTTTCAAAATTCTTTGGTGAGCTTACAATAAAAAAGTTGAAGACCATCGGCCCAAAAATGTTCTAAAATGTAGGGATGATGGCAGTAAAAGAGGCCTGGTTGACCGCCATGCCCCCAGGGCTTCCAGACTCTCAGAATTTATGAAAGGTTCATGTAGGACCTAGCCCATGGTAAGAGTATCACAGTTGCTTCTTGACTGATGGATTAATTCACCTTCCTCACTCACCAACACATTTTATTGTAACTTTCAGCATTTATGAAATTGGTTGAAAACTCAGCTGTTCTCATTTTCTGACTAATTAATCTCTAGTAAGCAATTGTCCTTTATAAATCTACCTACTTTTTAAAGTGGAAAGTAATCACAAACAAGAAGGTTAAATGTTAGGAGGTATATAGTAAAACAGAAAATGGAATAATAAATTGATTATTTAAAGTCATTCTTTGAGAAAGTAGATGAGAGAGTCACTTACATTTTACAATCTTAATTTTCCTTTTAAATGACAAATTTCCCATTGTCTAGCCTAAGCAAAGAATGGAGCATTTGGATTAAAGTTACTAAGTAATTATTGTTATACAATATATTAGTTTTCAAAATACACCAAAGTCACCTTGATATTGTTACATAATTATTTTTCCATTGGCAAATTAGAAGTCACTTCAGGATTCTGTACAACTTGGAATCTTTCTTTTTTTTTTTTTTTTTTGAGACGGAGTTTCACTCTGTTGCCCAGGCTGGAGTGCAGTGGCGCGATCTCGGCTCACTGCACGCTCCTCCTCCCGGGTTCTGGCCATTCTCCTGCCTCAGCCTCCCAAGTAGCTGGGACTACAGGCGCCCACCACTACGTCCGGCTAATTTTTTGAATTTTTGGTAGAGATGGGGTTTCACCCTGTTAGTCAGGATGGTCTCGATCTCCTGACCTCGTGATCCGCCCGCCTTGGCCTCCCAAAGAGCTGGGATTACAGGTGTGAGCCACCGCACCCAGCCGGAATCTTTCTTATGAATGCAAATTACCACTGCCTTAGAGATGTGTAAAAGTGTTCCTCTAGATAAACAGAATGGCAGAAAAATTAGTTTTTATTGTGTTCAGAATGCAGACTGGAAAAGGCTGGCAGATGCAACAAAAGACATATAAACCATTACATGAAGTATTTATGCCAAAATCAAGGAGCATTTAATAAGGTTCTGAATTTTAATGAATAAAATGAGCTTCTCTCGGGCTTTTACAGTTCCAGTTTTAATGTCCTCAAGTAGTTCTCTTGATAATGAGTAGTTTTGCATATTTATAGGAAACTAAAAAGTAGAGAATAAATAAAATAGCTTAATTTCTTGTGATCAAAGAATCAGGACATTTTAGAGTTGGAAGAAACTTTAGACGTTATTGATAAATAGAGAATGACAGGCATAGTTATTCCTCCAAAATATAACATTCATAATTGACCCGTTAGCAATTTGGTGGATATAAATCAGTGAGATACCTGCTCTACATTTAAGTGCACATTATAACTATTTACTGCAGATGAATGCTTGGAAATTGATGACACAGGCAATTCTCATTTTACTAGCATAGCAGGTTGGGTTCCAAAATGTGCAGGTTGTGTATCTGGGATTTAGAGTTTATTTTGTCATGGAATCAATGTTGCAAGTGGAGGTTGAACTGCCAGGCCAATACATGAAACCCATATGCTCATCATGCCCTGATGGTATTAAAGCCCCAACCCGACTTCTCACTTAACCACGGTTCAGGCTTCAGTGTTGCCTCTGCATGGTGTTGGAGTCACTGAGACCGGGATTCAAATCCCAGCTCCGCCACACACCAGCTGTGTGTTTTGGGCAAACGGACCTACCTTTCTTTGCCTCACTTTGCTCTACTGTGAAATGGGAATAATCACACTCTCCCAAGGTCACCAGACTCCAAAGTGTTCCCCAGTGATCACCCATCCTGGTATTCATGCTTTCATGTGGTCCCCTCTCACACAGAATACAGCTGACCTGTGTAAGCAGTAGGATGTTATGGAAATGACAGAATGTGACTTCTGAGGCTAGGTCATAAAACATATGGTGACTTGCTCTCTCTTGACTCTTGCTGTGGGGGAAGCCAGCTGCCATGTTGTGAGGGCACTCAAGTAGCCCCACACTCAAACAGCCCACATGGCAGGGAAATGAGATCTCCTGCTAACAGTGCTACCTTGCCAGGCATACAGAGAAGATCCATGAACCCTAGTAAAGCCTTTTGATGACAGTATCCTTGGCTGTTATCTTAACTAGAACCTTACGAGAGCCTCTGAGTCTGAGCCACCACCAGCCAAGCCATTCTCACATTCTTGACCTCCAGAAATTGTGTGTTGGACAATAAATGTTTATTGTTTTAAGCTGCTAACTATTGGGGTAGCGTGTTATGTAGCAATAGATAACTAATACATAATTTAATGGATTAAATGATATACGGAATGTAGAAGTCTTAATCTACTGTCTGGGCAGAGAAAGCATACATAAATGGTGACTGTTGATACGATTATCCCATTGTTATCCCTTGAATACCTAGTGGGATGATAGATTTCTTTATTAGGAATAAATCAATCCTATTGGTAGTCAGTCATGACAGCACAGAGCATATGGAGGATGGCAGGAGACATTTCCTTATTCTTCCCATTGGGTTTCCCTCTGAACTCACAGAATTATGAGCCTCATATGGCACCCATAGTCCCTTTTGACTCTGGTCTCCCTACCTCTTCTCTTTCCTAACCCTCTTCCCCCAGGGTCCTAGCTCCATCCAGGGGGTATCTGGTGTCAGGGAGGTGGAGATGGTGAGGTAGTTCTTGATTCTATGCTTGATTCTCCACTGGAGGGTACATAAATTTGGTGCTTTATTATGCTAAAGATTTGTTCCCATCAGAGGCAGACTTCGGTCTGAAGGAAGGTGCTTTGCAACCTCAAGCTGTGATAGTATTATAATACTATTATTATTATAATAATATTTAGCTTTCCATGGTCATTCTATGTAGCGTTTCTACCACACCCAATGAACAATCCTCTTGTTTTCATAGTTCCTTTTTTCAGCAGAAGGTGAGGGGAAAGTTGATTTCCTGATACCATCTGCAATTATTTGTCAAGGCAGACTTCAGTAACCTTGAACTGGACACTCTTGTGAGCTCAGTGACGTGTCATTTCAGATGCTTTCTGGTGCTCCTGTGAAATATTGACTCTCAGCCAGCACCTGAGACTACCAAGAGAAGCAGAAATCAAACACAAAATTATTAAGAATTTGTGTTCATGCAGGCATATTAAATTAGAGTCAACTAGCAATTTTGGTAAATGCTCCAGTTGTTATAAGGCTTAATGAGAGAATTCAGGGAATAGAAAGAATTCTCGAGAGCCCTTTTTTCCTTTAGTTTTTTTTTTTCTATTGTTGAGAGTGCTTGTTAATTCACAGAAACACTAGGCTGAGAATTTCACATGAGAAAAAAACTGAGAAATGGAAATAATAAAGCTGTGACTAGGAAATTATTGTCAAGAATTACAAGATAACTGAAATAATAACTAATATTTGCCTGTATATCAGTGTTATATCAATCCTCACTTATAATCCTGTGAAGGGCATTCTTTGATCTCTATCTTGCAGATAAGAAAACTGAGCACAGTAGTTAAAAAATTTGCCAAAGGAGAAGGTTAGAAGCAAAACCGAGCCCCTGGTGTCTTTTCCACAATACCATGAAGCTTCCCTTAGATTATGAGTTTTGGTTTATAAAAACATAGAGGCTGTTCACAGATTTTTTTAAAAGCAATTGTCTGGCTGGGTGAGACGTGGTTCACGCCTGCAGAGTCAGGAGGATTGCTTGAGCCCAGGGGTTTTAGACCAGCCTGGGCAATATAGTGAGACCCCAGCTTAAAAAAAAAAAAAAGCAATTGCCTGAGTATTTTTTTTTTTAATTGTGGTAAAAAACACACGAGACTTACTCTCTTAACAAATTTAAGTGTCCGACTTGATGTTGTAATACTCGATCTTCCCACAGTGTTGTCAACTGAAGGATGACAAGGTTCATAAATTTGGAAAGGTGAGCTTTATTTTGCATAAAGCGCTGCAGCCTGCAGAGTGGCCATTCTGTCAGGCTGAGAATCGTAGCCTCCAGCCAGAAGCCAGAAACAAGCATTTCAAGGGAGAGACAAAGGGAATAGGAATTTATGCTGAGTGATGTGCCTGAATATACATATTTAATAAGCTTTAGGAGTCATGAATATTTATGAAGAAACGTGCACATGCGCAATTGAGCTTCATGCATCTTCATGGGTCCCCTGTTCAAAAAATGGTGGCATTAGCATGATCCAAGGGTGCAGTTTTCAGGCTTTTGACATCAAAAGGTGAAGCAGAGGATATGAAAACCCTCACTGCACATTCTCCACAGACTGGCTAGAACCACCCTGTGGTCAGGGGTTTCTTATCAGGAAGGAATGCTGGTTGGTTGTTGTATTGTAACCTCAAAGGGGAGGGGAAGCATCAGGTAGTTGGTTGATATTAGAGGTGGAGCGAGTCTTTGCAAAGGGCTGGTTTCTGTTTAGCCCTTAGGAAAGAAAGACTAATGGTGGTTAGTAAAGGTGAGAATATAATGAGATGTGTCTGACCTCCCATCCCATCATGGCCAGGAACTCAGTTTTCAAGGTTTCTCTTGGGTCCCCTTGGCCAAGAGGGGGTTGTTTCAGTCTGCTGGGGGGCTCAGGATTTTATTTTTATTTCTAGTGTGAAATGTATGACAAAGCTTGGGGGCACTGAGCGGCCATCAACATGAAACAAACAGGCTGTCTGCCACAGACTTCCTCATTCTTAAGATTCCTCACCGAGGAAGCAATACCTTAGTGCTTTGCCGTGCTAAAAAATATTTTAAAATTGTTCAGTGAAATTTGTGAGAGCTCACTCTTTTGGACTGAGCTCCTGCACAAGGCTCCAACAGAATAGATTAAACCAAAATGTAGTCACTCATGCTAAAGTTCTATACCGCCAAACCAAAAGTCACTTGTTTATCTGACCTTTTAAGAAATCAGGAGAGAGAGAGAGAGAGAATAGAGAGATCATAAACAAAGGTATTTCTTCCAAAATACCTTTGGGAGAAACTTAATTTATAGTTTAACTTTGAAACAAAGATGATAACAGCCCTTTACCAAAAGAAATCTCATTTTTGTCTGGGGACTAGACTGCCTTTGCAGAGCTAACAAATTGGTCACAAGATTCAAAATTAAGGTTTGAGAGTCACTGTTGTAAAACTTGAGATCAGTGCTTGAGATAGTTTACAGACCCTGCATTCTGATGCACCAGCTGATGCCACCCAGACCAATAAACTGACTTATCTTGTCTTGTAGCCCCCACTCAGGAAATGACTCAGTGCAAGAGGACAGCTTCAGCTGTCTCTGATTTCATCTTCAAGCTGACCAATCAACACTCCCCACTTTCCCACCCACTACCCACCAAATTATCCTTAAAAACTCTGATCCTTGAATTTTTGGGGAGATGAGTCGAGTAATAACTTCTCCCATGTGGCATGGCCAGCCTTGGGTCAATGAAACTCTTTCTTCACTGCAATGCCGTGGTCTTTATTTGTGCAGCAGGCAGGAAGAACGTGTTGGACAGTTGCAAACTGACTGTTCTTCCATGCCCAATAGAGTGCCCTTTCTAAATATTTAGATGAGATGCTGCCTAGTTCATGAATCCCTAATAATAGCCAATTTGATCTTTACACTAAATCTGTGAAAACTTTTTTTCTTATCAAAGCAAAACAACAGAGAGTAAAAAAATTGTTTCTAAACATTGTTAGCTAATTTTCAGACCTTACTTTCAGGAGCTATTAAATAAATAACTAAATAGTATAAGGGAGGAAAAATAGTTATTCCCTTTATTTGTAACAAAAGAAAAACAAACAGAATGGAATAACACGTTCCCATGGGAGATACCCAGGGAAACATTAGCAAATCTTTAAAGTAGAACCTAGAGAGGTGGCTTTGACTTCCAGCCTTAAATACTATCATTTGCTGAAATAAAGAAAGAAGGGTGTGGGGAAAGCCCTGTTAAGATGAGGTGACCAGGAAAAGTTCAGTAAACATGAACAAGGCTTGTTATGTGGCGTTAAGCTCATGCCTTCTCCACTGATGAGAGCTCCTAGGGAATTAGAATCATTCCTCTCTTCTTGGTTCAGAGAGGGAGACACCATTATAAATGGAGATTTCCTTTATACATGTAAATATCTCTAACAAAAGGGTGACACTTCTGTTCTTGTTTTCATAGTAGTTCTGTAGTTTCTCAAAATAATCCACTCAAAATAATCCTCATGCAGAAGAGGAATATTTGGGGTGGCATATTCTGGTCTCCTACAGTCATATTTGGGGGCCACATGTCCTGAATTCCAGCAATAGCTTAGACAAAAAACCTCAACCCTAACTTTACTGTCTTTCCCTGTTTCTTCACTCTTCACCTCAATCCCTCCCTCAGTACCATTAATTCTAGTTTCCTAGTTTTTCTCAAATCCTTTATCTCCTTTCCACTCTTCCTGTCTGCCTTAGTTTAACCTCATGCTGTTTATTCAAGAATGCAACAAAACAAAACAAAAAATATTCACATAATTACCTGGGGAACATTTTGAGAAATTATTGCTATAAAATAATTTCATATAAAAAGAACCACTGTGAAAAAAGCAACCAGAGAATAAGAAAAAGGGTTTTTTTAAATTAAAAATACAGTTGCTAAAATTTTTTTAAAAATGGATGAGAAATAAACTTCACCAATAAACCAGAAAAAAGGAAGAAAATATGAGAGAAAGCTTAAGGATATGGGTGCTAAATATGGGAGCTCTATATTCTTTTTTTTTTTTTTGAGATGGAGTCTCATTTTGTCACCCAGGCTGGAGTGCAGTGGCACCATCTCGGCTCACTGCAACCTCCACCTGCTGGGTTCAAGCAATTCTCCTGTATCAGCCTCCTGAGTAGCTGGGACTACAGGCACGTGCCACCATGCCCGGCTAATTTTTTTTTTTTGGTAGAGATGGAGTTTCACCATGCTGGCCAGGCTGGTCTCAAACTCCTGACCTCATGATCTGCCCACCTCGGCCTCCCAAAGTGCTGGGATTACAGGTGTGAGCCACCACGCCCAGCCCCTCTATATTCTTTAAGTAGGATTTTTAGGAGGACAAGCAGCAAGAAGGAAAGAAAGACAAAAGGAGGAGAAAAAAAGAGCCCACAACCTGAGGAAATGAGAAATGGAAATATCAGGAAAAAGAAACAAGCCTAGACATATGCTAGTGAAACAGTAGCGCTATCCCCATCAAAGGTAATGATAAGACAAGGACCTCACTGTCCACAGATGCTGCTCATCAATATGCTGATGTAATTGCCTGATGGGGTGTTCCTGCCCACTGCACAGAAAAAACCAATTCACTGAGACTGTAGAATTGCAGTAAAGAAACAGTTTAATTAATGTGAGGACAGCCATGTAGAAGAACTGGAGTTATCACTCAAATCAGTCTCCCCAAAATCTCCGAGTTAGGGTTTTTCAAGGATAGTTTGGTGGGTGGGGAAATAGGGAATGGGTGCTGCTGATTGGCTAGGAATTCAATGATAGGGGTGTGGAAAACAGTCCTTGTGCACTGAGCCCACTTCTGGGTGGTGGTGGGGTGGCCACAAGACCAGTTGAATCATGAGTTATGTGAATCCAGGTGGGGTTGCCAGAATGCAAAAATCTGAAAAACATCTCAAAAGACCAATTGTAGGTCTACAGCAGTGATGTTATCTATAGGAACAACTGAGGAAGTCACAAATCTTGTGACCTCTGGCTACATAACTTCTGAGCAGTTAGGGATTATAGAAATTATACCTACATTTTAGCAGAATTCAGGCCCTTTCCATAATCATAATCTTATGGCCTTTCATTAGTCTTACAAAGGCTGTTTTAGGTCCTTGAGCAAGAAGGGGGTTAGTTCTAGGGAGGGGCTATTATTACCATCCTTGCTTTCAAGTTAAAGTATCAGCTAAATTCCTCCCACAGTTAACTTGGCCTACACCCAGTAATGAGTGAAAACAGCCAGCTTGTGAGGTTAGAGGCAAGATGGGGTTAGCCATGCTAGACTTCTTGCATTGCCATAATCTTTGCAAAGGTGGTTTCACTGGGCAGTCTAGCTAGTGAAATAAAATGAGGAATGTTAAAGAAAAAAGTATTCTGACACTTGTTAAAATGTTAAGAAATGCTTCATTTAAGACTATTCCAATCAGGGAGAGAGATGCTCAACTCCACATACAGCAAAGACAGCGGGGGATTTATAGCTGATGAGCACTGAGAAGGAGTCAGTAGATGGGAAATTACTAAGAGGAGACACCAAGGGTGGGGGGATTCTTGCTGAACCAACTTAACAAGATTCTTGCCAAAGACAGGCCAGAATAATCAATTATCAAGGGTGAGGGATTTTCTCTAAACTGAATTAGCAGGATTCTTGCTAAAAATGGGCTAGGCAGGCTGAAGACAGGAGAGGTGTCAATGTGGGGGCTTAGTTGAGAAGGGAGCTCAGAGGAGCCTGGGTAGAGTTTGGTGAGCAGAGAGCTTTATTCAGGAACCAAAGAGCTGAAACTGTCACTGTCTGCAGATAACATGATGGTCTACCAATAACTTCAACAACAGCAACAGTAATGGTTAGAACTTTTGAGAAAGTTTATTATATTTGTCAAATATAAACTAAAAATTGAAAAAATGATTTTCCCATACATCATAGCAATTATAGCAATTAATTTTTTACAAATCTCAATTGCCAGATGTACAAAAATCTGTAAACTACTTGAAAATAAATGTGAACAAAATATTCCAGTTCTAACTAAATGCAATTATTAAAATTTACTAATGGAGAATCATGTTTACGCTTGGGGGAGCAGTGACTAAAAAGGAGAGTGAAGGAGTCTGTTTGGGGCTGGCAATCCTTTGTGTCTCGATCAATTAAAAGTTTATACAATTTTCAGATGAACATAGAAAGGACATTTAAAGTTGGAGAATATTAGCATATTTGTTGGTGAGAAAACCCTGTTTTGTAAAATTGTCCCTTTTCCTAAATTTAATATTAAATTCAATGCTATACTAATACACATTCCAAGGTTCTTTATGAAACTTCACAAGTTTCCCTGGTGGGAGGTAATTGAATCATGGGAGCAAGTCTTTCCCATGTTGTTCTCGTGATAGTGAATAAGTCTCATGAGATCTGATGGTTTTATACAGAGGAGTTCCCCTGTATAAGTTCTCTCTTCTCTTGTCTGCCGCCATGTGAGACATGACTTTCACCTTCCACCATGATTGTGAGGCCTGCCCAGCCACATGGAAATGAAAGTCCATTAAACTTTTTTCCTGTATAAATTACCCAGTCTCAGGTATATCTTTATCAGCAGCATAGAAACAGACTAATGCATCCTGTAAAGACACAATAATTAAAATGTTATAGTATTGGATTAAGAATATACAGATTGAATAGTAGAATAGGTTAGAATTCAGAAATAGACCAAATTATATATAGAAAT